>NC_000007.14:120688597-120991627 GCF_000001405.40 Homo sapiens
AAATTAAGCTGCCACGGATTTGTTAGTGTTGATCACTTGTTCAGCACAGTCTTGTCTGATGGAGCAGAGGGAAAACGCTTACCATGTCTATCATCCTCAGTTTTTGTTTCAAGATTCTTCCATCTTGATCTCATGGCATAATCCTCTAAGAAAAAAAATGTTAAAAGAACAAGACTTAAGCCTGGTTATGATTACAAAAATAGAAGTAACTGTACTGCTCTAAAGATGTACTTTTGTCTGTATTTCCCAGTGTTAAGAGTATCAAAAATGATCTCCTTTTAGAAAACTGAGCAAGAGGAAGGGAAGCCTTACCTCATGGATGCCAGTAACCAGACCCTGAAAATGAAAATAAGATTTTTGCAGATGAGATAACTCTGATGGATTCAAAAGAAGACTCCACATACTCAATTCTCTCTTCCAATTGGTGCCCCCTCTGCATCACTGTTCTTCAGTTCTTTAGAGAGCCTTATCATGGCTATAATACACACAGAGTGTCACTGTAGTACAGGGTCTTATCTTATGAGAAACAGGAGTGTGAGCAGAAAAATGCACAGTAGTGGGCCGAATTTGGATATTCACTTCCAATATCACATTGCATTTTTAGTTTCTGGACACGAAAAATGCAACATAGGACACAAAATAAAAATATTCCACAAGCACAATACAGAATAAGAGGAAATAGTGGCATTGTTTTCTTTTTGTGTCATCAGTTTTGAATCACGGTAAATTATGCTGCAATACAAATTTTATTTTTTTAAATGTTGATGCCTTAAATACATAGATTGAAATAGATATTTAATTTTATATTTAAAGTAAAATGGTTCCATCTCAATAATCTGATTTCATAGATTGCTTTCCTTTTGTTTATAAAGACTATGTTTATAAAGTCACCATTTACATAATTTAAACCTAATATTTACTTGAAATACACATAACAAACCACTAGTCATAAAATGTAAAATGCAGGTTGTCCTTTATTTTATTTTTGGATCAATAATCTGGTTTAGTAATTATGATTTATATGATAATTTAGACATAAATCTTCACTATCCCTTTCTCTGAAACTACTTAGATAGCATGCTTGAACATTGTGCTTCTTTGTAGCACGGAATATGCATAAGCCCAGTTCCTTTTGCAGTCCCATTTTTTTCTCCTTCTAAAGAGAGGTCATACTGCCTACTGAAGAGGCAAATGAAATGAGGGCAAAGACTAAACAACTTTTAATTTAGGGAATATTCTCCATTAATGAATTCCCCAGAGCATCCTTCAGCTAAGCCACGGGCTTCTCATTCCTCTCTATCAGTATTGGGGAGTTGAAACACTTACAGAGTATTTGCTAGTGCCTGTCTCTCAAACCCATTTTGCCAGCTGGAGAGAAGTGTGTAGAAGTTCTAGTCAAATCAGCAATTCTCCTGGACCCTTTCTGATTTCTGATTTTTTCTCCTGTACCTTGTAAATCACAGCACAAACCTTTCTTTGTGATTCTGGTATTAGAAAATGTTTTCTTTTTTCAAAGATCACTTTTTTATTTAAGAAATGGAAATGTTATTTATTGGTTAAATGACAAGCATTCAATAAACAATTATGTGCCCTAGTACTTGTCTATGAAGGGCTAATATATGACACAAATATAAGGCATACAGAAAAAAAATACCTTCTTTAGAATGGCTTTTAAATTTGCTTTATTATTTTTAAAATAAAGACATACATACATACACAAAAATATAGTTCTATTACTTTTTATGTAATACTTCTTATAAAGAAAGAAAATCCACCAATAACTCTCAAAGAGGTCCTGACCTTAAGTATTTAATTATTTCCAAATATCACCAAACGAGTGGCATCAGGGCAGAGAGGAGAACCACGTGCTTGCACAGACATGCTGAGGTCAGCTAGCAGTGGCACCAGAGCTATAACACCATCCAGTGACATACCCTGTTTGCATCACTGACACCTTTTTCTTTGCCTTCCCATTCACCTGGTGAAGGGCAGGACACTGGAACAGATGGGTGTAAGAAGTGAAGTAGAAACACATTGACAAGAGTTAGAATGCATTTTAGAGTCACAAATAACAAGCTATATTCCTAATAATCACATTGATCATATTGATAAATATTTATTGACCACTTCCATGTGCTAAGCACTATTCTAAGCCATGAGAATACAGCAATGCATAAAAGAGACAAAACCTTTGCCCTTATGGATCTTACATTCTAGTGGGAGGTGGGAGGGAGGACAGATGTATGCAAAATAAAAAAGTAAAATGCATAGTATGTTAGAGGGTAATGCATGCTATAAAGAAAAAGAAAACGAGAATGAGGATAAAGAGTGGTAGGGAGCGCTGTGGATGTTGAAATTTTAAGTAGTGTGGTCAGAAAAGTCTACACCAAGAAGATGACATTTAAGTAAATACTTAAAAGTAGGGAAAGAGAAGTCCACGCAAGTGCAAAGGTCCTGAAGCAGTAGCATGTATGGGGTCTATGAGGAACAGCCAAGGAGTTGTGCTAACACTGAGTGGGCCAGGGAGTTAACCAGATCAGGTAATGTATGGCCTTGTGGACCATCCCAATGACTGCTTTTACCTACAGCCAGATTGGAAGCCAGTGGAAGGCTTGAAGCAAAGAAGTAACAGCTATACAATATTTCTAACATCTGCTGTAACAGGATCTCTTTGGCTACTAGGCTAAACTAGACTTGGAGAGACAAGGCAGAAGCAGGCAGAGCACTCAGGAGGCTATTACAATCACCATGGGGGGAGAAGATGGTGGTTTGAACCAGGGTGTTGCCAAAGGAAATGTAGGGAAGAGATTGGACAGTAAATATATTTCAGATATTAAGCTGGCATAGTTTTCTGACAGATTGGACAGTGACTGTAAGAGACAGAGGTATAGGATGACTGAGGTTTTTGGACTGAGCAACTTACAGATGGTGCTACCTTCAAGTAAACTGGGGGAGACAGGGAGGAACAGAATGAAGGGGAGGATTAGGAGTGGAGCTGTGGATATGTTATTGTTGAGATGCCTACTACACACCAAGTGGAGACACATAGGCAGTTGGCTATGTGAGTCTAGAACCCGAGGAAGAGGTCTAACCTGGAGGTACACATTTAGGCATCATCCAGGTATAAATATTATAAAGCCAGTGACTAGATGTCATCAACAAGGGAAGGAGTGTGAATATCACAGAGAAATGGTGCTGATACTGGGAGCCGAATCACTCCAGTGCAAAGAAGTTGAGGCAACAAGGAGACTAAGAAGCAGAGACCAGTTAGGTAGGAGGAAAATAAGGAGAATGCAGAGTCCTAAAATCAAATGCAGAAAGAAAATGTTTCAAGGAGGACCTTGTGGTCAGCTGTGTCAAATTCTGGGTCAAGGGAGAGGAGCACTGTGAACCGACCTTCAGATTTAGCAATTTAGAGAACCTTTAAAGGAGCAGTTTTGGTGAAATCATGGGGTAGAAAGTCTCACTGGAATGCAACAGAGAGAGAATGAAAGGAGATGCATCAGCAATGACAATTCTTTCAAGGAATGTGCTGTAAAGGGAGGGAGACAAATGAGGAGGTAGCTGAGAAAGGAAGTGAAGTCAAAGGAAGCTTTTTCATTTGTTTGGTGATGGGCAGTGAGAAGAGATGTAACATGTTCGTGCCAATATTACATGAAGTCCATCTCCTAGTGCAACAAAGATCATTATGGCTGAATAATCTGTACCAAGGGCAACTTCCAAAATGATGGTCCTTGACTGTGGTGCTTGGGGACCAGTTAACTTTAAATTCCTTAATACAAACTTTTTTTTAGTTATCTTTTATTTTTCTCCTGCAAGTTTGTCCATAATATAGTCATTTACTATAATGACAGAAAATGTTAAACTACATTATGTTGATGTAAGATAAACACACCAACAGGACCCAAATTCCTCAACCTTGGCAGACTGGGTGAATAAGAAAAAGAGGTTTCCCAGGCACAGTCCTTTAATACAAAGTTAATCTCATCCTAGATTCCAAGGCCCCCTGCAAAGAACCCATCTCTTCTAGGATTAACAAGAAAAGAATTATTATTCAATAAGAAAGTGTCCTACTGTTTGGGACTGCTGACTCCTGTCACTTTGCAGCAAGTACGCTCACCTCGATGGGGACTTTGAGTTCTCTATTCTCTCCAAGCCAGAGGGCCTGGGAGAGGATTCAGCCCCTGTGGGGCATTTCACACTGTGAAGCTGCCTCAGCTCTACTCATTAAGATGAAACTCCTATGAAAGAAGGTGCTTTATTTTCTATTGATTGGTTGTAATGTGATTGAACTTAGAGTTTCTGAACAACCCACTGTTTTGAACTCCAAGGTACATTTTCCCCGCAAAGGAAAAAGGAATTATTATTCATTTAATCAAAGGAAGAGTAAACCTACCAAATCCTACTAAAACAACTACTCACAAAAAAGATGAGCCAATGAAGCATAAAATAGAAACAAGAAGTAGAATTATTTAGGTTGTGATGTCCCTTATTCAACTTCCTGATTCTAGGAATTTCAAAGTACAGGAGTACCAACATTCATGTATTTTCAAGCTTAATATACCAAAACATAAACATTTGCACTTTCTATTCATTTTCTGAGTTCTACTCTAGCATAGTTTATTTTTCTGTTGGTATATATTGAAAGGGAAAAAGGAAAAGATATTAATAATCATACTATTCATCCTCAGAGCACCACGTACTTCCGCTTCGTACTTAACAGGTATAATTCATTACTTTTATTCATGCACTGCTTTGATTAATGTTTGTCTGTCTTATTAGGTGGTGAGCTGATGAGGACAGTGATCGTTCTCCCTCCTCAAGGCACTGATTTATTTTTAGTGCCAAACATAGTACTTAGCAAATGGGAAGTATTTTTATTTTTAAAAATAAAAATATTTTTAAATGGATAATGAAAAAAAATTGAGAGGAAGGAACCAAAGAAAGGAAGGATAAAAAGAAAGAGAGATGAAGTGGAGGAAGAGGGAAAAAGGAAAGAGGCAGGGAAGTTAACTGGCTTCCAATGTGTGATTATTGCAGATCTAGCTCTGTATTTGCTATTTTATATGCACCACCCCAATTAATCCTCACAAAAAAGTATTATCAAGCCTATTTTACAGAATTAAGAACTGAGACACAAAAAGGTTGCAGTCACAGCACTGGCATGTAGCAGCTAGACCATAGTCCTGTCTGAATCTGCAGTGGATCTGCCTCTCTCCTTTCTGCTATACTGGAGCAACAGAAATAGCAACATGGCAGAGAAAGGCCAGAAAGGAGATGAAAAATATAACCATCTGTAAATAGAAGGATGCGTGCGGTGGTTCATGCCTGTAATGCCAGCTCTTTGGGATGCCGAGATGGGTGGTGGATGCCTGTAGTCCCAGCTACTGGGGAGACTGAGGCGAGAGGATGCTTGAGCCCAAGAAGTTGAGGCTGCAGTCAGCTGTGATTGCACCACTAAAAGAAAATAGACAAAAAGGATCTTTCCTGTCTGCTTTGAAGGAATTAGACTCAGAACTGAAGCTTGACAAGCCATGTTGATGCCTCCTTTCCTAAGCCTATTTGTGTGTAGGGTCTCTGGCTTCCTGCAATAATTGTCTTCATTTCCCAGAATTCTGAAAAAGTTTGGCTCTGTTTCTTATCAACACACTTTGGTGGGGCGGAGCCACCTCAGCTTGATATTTTAGGATACAACCCTTTTAATGTTGGACACCTATATCTAGATATAGGTGATCTTTACAAAGTATTGTCATGTGCATGTAGACTGTATAGCGTGGCACCTGGGTTTAATTAAGACAGGCACAATCCATAAATAAATAATGATGACTTATAAATCCTTTCTTCTATTGAAAAGGGCTAAATACAGAACCAAGTTGGAGGACCGGCATCTCTTCCTATGCGAGCCTGGCCATGTATAATGACAAGTCCAAATGAAGATGCCTCTGTTCCAGTGGAACTATAGATATTTTTTTCATAATAATGTTGTACTGCCTCCAATTATGAAATGACTACATCTAAAAGGGGTTAGAAGGACCACCATAATTCTATTTCATGTTGACATTATTACCCCCAATGATGCCTACCACACTCTGAGGTGTTTGCCCTTGTGCTGTACTGGTAAACTGGCTAACGCTGAAGTTGACCGTCAGCATTGGGCATACTCAGAAGTATGACCTAGACTACCACTACTCCCTAAACCCATTACCTGTCTGTGCAGTGACACCAATCCAGCCATGTTTTATTATGTTTCTCTACCTTTGCTCCAGGTTGGAATACAGTTTAATATTCCTGTCATTTCTCCCTAACCTCAACCTCAAGTTCCAGTTTAAATCTGACCTCCTTTCTGAATTACTGTAGCACTTTTGGTCTTCTCCTCCTTGGCCAACCTCCTCTGCCTACCACACACATTTTAGCAAATACTGTAAACTGGATTGATGACTAGATCCTTGATTTCCCAGCAAAGTTTGCAAATTCCTTAGGGGTATAGTTCTTATCTCATTACTGAGTACTCCACGATGCTAAATACATGATGTAGCATGATTTTGTTTTATAAAAATCGAAACAGAAAAAAAGCTCAGTTCAAACTGTTATATATGTATATTAGTTTTATATATATTATATATATATTAGTTTGAACTGAGCTTGATATTTCAATGGCTTGTTTTATATATGTATCCCATAAGTTTACTGCCTGACTTGCCCACTTTAATTTTAAGAAACAACAACAAAATGCAGAAAAAGTATGTTTGTCCTTAATTATAAGAAATATTTGGCAATAGAAAACATGCTAAGTTTAATATTTTATATTTTCTCTGCCAATGAGACTATGAAATTTCACACTTTATGTCAGACATATTTTGTGAAGGAGTGCCAGTGGATTGTCACATAAGCTGGTTGTCTACTATAATATCTGATGCTTTTTAAGAAGGAGAGTAATTGGGTTAGATTTAAATTAGTGTGTTTTTAGTAATCCTCAAATGTATATGCCTTCAAGTGAAACTATAATGAAGAAAAGGAAGAAATAGCAAATGCATATGTGAACTTAATAAATACATTTGTTGATTATGATGATGGTGATGATGATGACAGCGGAAATGGAAATTTCATTTTCTTCTTCTACAGAAAGCCTTCCAATCCGTTCCCTCTGCACTTAAAGCTATTGATTTATTTATTTTTTACTAAAGTTTGTGATGATATAAGATTAATCAGAATGCAAAGTATCTCAAAGTAGAAGGACACTGAGTAGTTTATAGATGGAAGTTGATTGACCACTGAGTAGTTTATAGATGGAAGTTGCTATGAGTTGATTTCAAAAAGAGGTGTAAAATGAAATGCCAAAATAAATCAAAGAGTCAACTAATCCTCATATAAGGGGCACCACTGACTTGAGTTTCATATTACATCAATCCTTTTATTTAATAGCTTCAATGGAAACCACTCCTGGGAACATCAAACAAGGCAGCCAGCCAGAAACGTCATTATCCCAAGCAACATTTCTATTGCATAAAGCTACTTAACTCAAACTACAATTTATTTTCAGAAAAAGCTGGTTTTACTTTTCTTGGACAACCCAATATTATATTATTTTCCATAAAGATTGCAGACAAACATACTTGGTCGGTAATGAATAGGTAAAAGGAAATCATTTCACTGTATTAAAATACATTTTTTCCTCAAGAGAAAAATACAGTCTGATCTGAAGGCTAAATGAGCATTTTGCTAAGACTGCCAGGGCCAAGATTACTTTAGTCATTCCCATGGCCAATTAGGAGTGTCCTTCAAAGATCCTACCCAGCATGTATTCTTTTGATGGAAGTATTCTGTGACTTCTTAGGTTGTACTGCCATACTAAATTTGGCCATGTTACAAAACTGTGTGAACTAAACCCAAACCATAAATTGTATTGTTTGATCAATGCTATGGTTTGAACGTGTTCTCCAAAGTTCATATGCTGGAAACTTACTATCCAATACAACAGTGTTGGGAGGTGGGGCCTAAAAAGAAGTGATTAAGTCATGAGGGTTCTGCTATCATACATGGATTAATGTCCTTACCACCAGAGTGCATTAGTTACTGTCAGAGGTTCTTGTTATGAAAGTGAGTTCTTCAGCCACCACTTGCTCTCTTGCTCTTGCGTTTTCTTGCCCTTCTGTCTTCTGCCTTAGAATGACAAAGCACAAAACCCCTCACCAGATGCCAGCACCATGCTCTTGGACTTCCCAGCCTTCAGCATCAGGAGCCAAATAAACCTCTATAGTTTATAAATTCTCAGTCTCAGGTATTCCATTACAGCAACACAAAATAGATTAAAACAGTCAGTAAATAAAATGCTTCTAGATCATCAAGTAAATCTAATTAAATATTTTAAAACTTAGAGTTCCATATATCTGCAAATAACGACATTATCTTCTTTTTAACTTGAGAACATTCAATTTTACACAGCTTTTGAATCTCTGAGTCAGTAAAACGGTCATCATTTTTCTCCCAGGAAGAGAACATGTTGAGGGGATCAATCTTCCCTAAGCACTAATAAATGAGTGAGTTTTCATTCTAATTACAGATATGGTTTATGTGTTTTCTCCTTTCAGCTGTGATTGCTATAGGGTAAAGAAATCAGAGGATAACTTTTTATACTGCAACCAATAATTTTTGCATTACTTAACTAAGTATCTTTCCAGTTTTGATTTCTCAAATGCCAACCACTTAAAAGTTAATATTTTAATGTTTTTTCTTCCTAGATGGGTAAAAGAATTCCCTTTTAGATTTATCTAGGTATGTGAAGATTTTTTTTATTATAATTATTTGTTTTAGAAACTAAAGTAGAGCTTGAGGATATTTTAAAAGAACACCAGAATTCCTCATAACAAAGAGTCCCTAGTCTGATATGCTAAACAGGATTTAACAGCTTTTACAGAGTATAATTTTTTTGCTGTATACTTTAATATGAAATTCATGCATGTGATGATATACAGATTATCCTTCAGAGAAATTACATAAAAACATGAAAGGATATAAAATGCAAAAATGTAGGGAAGCAGTAAGTTTACCCCAGTGGACCAACTGCAAGAGAATAAAAAGTAGAAGCTGTGGGGATAATGATAAGATAATGCTAAGAACAATTAGCAAAGCTATGACATAGAGTTAAAGTGGAAGCACCACGCCACTGAACAATAAAATATAATTGGAAGGACCTAAGATTGAAGAAATATTCTTAACATTATGTATCAAGTGGTGTCAAATAAAATTAGTGGACATTTTAGAAAATAATAAAGAGACTTCATTTACTGGTCACCCAATCGTGGTCATAGATTTTTAAACATCACATCACTATATGTATTTCTTTTAAAAATGTTAAGGAAAATTTATTTATATTAACTGTAACCCTCATATTTTAGGGAAGCATATTTGGATATATAGATTTGCCCTTTTTTTTTTTTTTTTTTTTTTTGGCTTGTTGCCCAGGCTGGAGTGCAGTGGTGCAATCTCAGCTCACTCTAACTTCTGCCTCCCAGGTTCAGGTGATTCTCCTGCCTCTGCCTTCTGGGTAGCTAGGATTATAGGCATGTACTACCATGCCCAGATAACTGTTGTATTTTTAGTATAAATGGGGTTTTGCCATGTTGGCCAGGCTGGTCTCGAACTCAACCTTTTATCCTTTTAATACATTTGGAGACCCTTTGTCTCTCACAGAGCATCTATAGCAAATTACTTAAGAGCATGCATACTGGAGCCAGGTGGTGGGCTTAAGTTTAAGCTCAATTGCTTGCTAATAAGGAAATTCTGGACAATGTTCTAAAACTCTTTGTGGCTCAGTTTCCCAATTTGTTACATATAAGTAATAATAATAGTGTCCACTTTACAAGCTTGTTATGAGGATTAAATGAGATGATACATATAAAACAGTAAGAAAAAGTGCCTGGCAGGCATTACACTGTCAGTCAGTTTCAGCTATTTGTGATTACTATGAGCTATAAGCTAGTCTACATACTATTTCAGGTTGAAATAATGAAGGAAATTATTCATGCACAAAATCATTCAACAAATATTTGATGAGTA
This sequence comes from Homo sapiens, assembly GCF_000001405.40. Lineage (NCBI taxonomy): Eukaryota > Metazoa > Chordata > Mammalia > Primates > Hominidae > Homo > Homo sapiens. Next base: position 120,698,654 of record NC_000007.14, read on the forward strand.
CCTACTGGTACTAGACTGTGTCATTAATTGAGCAGATTAGTGCAAATCCTAATGTCAGACCCAAAAGGTAGACCAGCTTTCCAGATCACAGTTACCCCACAAAAGGAATTTGGCAATAGATTCTGCTATGTATTTCATCCTTACCACCAATAAATCAGCTGTGTTCTTTGGGTTCAAAAGATGGGAAAATAAGAACATACCACTGTGACTTTTCAAAAATTCATGTAGGTATTTCTGTTATATTTAAAAAGTCTTTAAATTTAATAAGAATTTAACTTATTAAAACAGGAGACTTGTTGAGATGGGAGATGATTAAAGTCTAGCACATGAAAATGGTATTAAATCAGCCGGGCACGGTGGCTCACGCCTGTAATCCCAGCACTTTGGGAGGCCGAGGTGGGCGGATCATGAGGTCAGGAGATCGAGACCAACCTGGCTAACACAGTGAAACCCTGTCTCCACTAAAAAATACAAAAAAATTAGCCGGGTGTGGTGGCGGGTACCTGTCGTCCCAGCTACTTGGGAGGCTGAGGCAGGAGAATGGTGTGAATCTGGGAGGCAGAGCTTGCAGTGAGCCGAGATCGCGCCACTGCACTCCAGCCTGGGCAACAGAGTGAGACTCCATCTCAAAAAAAAAAAAAGTTATTAAATCAATGAATAATATGTCCAAATTATGGATCAATTTGCAAAGGTTAAGGAAACATTCATTCCTTTATTCCAAAGCATTTCTTGAGCTTCTTATTTGTATGAGTCACTGTGGTAGGACCCAAATATACAGAGACAAACAACCAGAAGCTTTGCTCAACAGTGACTAACAGTGGAGTGGGAATGTTTTACAAATAAATTAGTGACAACACAAGGTGAAAATATTAAACACAAGTATTAAGTTGTTGTTATGGAGACAAAGAGTAGGAGGACAGGAGAGAAAAATCCCCCAAGAAGGTCAGGAATTTCCAAGAAGAGGTGGAATTTGTTATTAATCTTAAAGGATGAATGAATTTTCCATAGCAAAGAGAGATAGAGAAGGAAAATGGTGATGTCAGAGAAATGTCAAATGGTGATGTCAAAGAAAGAATACTCTTGAAGGAAGAGAAGGCAACAGTTTGACATTTGACTTGGGTAAGTTCAGTCTTAGATTGGTAGGTTTTTGTTAATGAGTATAGAAATACAACTGTCAATTTCAGGTAATAGAATGTACAATTATGAGTCATCAGAAAATACATGTTATGTGAACCCTTGATATACATGTTTATGTAAAAGATATAAAGAAACTCATGGTAGAACCCCAATAAAAACAATATTTCGGGCATGGAGGAAGAAAAGATACAAGTAGTTAAGAATAGGGTGTGGCTGCTAAGTTGGAAGAATCAGGACAAGAGCTCTCATGGAAGCTGAAAATTAAGAGAGCTTCAGGGGTGATATTGAAAACAGTGGGAAATGCCATAGATTGGTCAAGAAAAAAATAAATCAGAAAAAATATGAGTGGGTTTAGAGTAATCTTTTACAAAGTTTATCTCTAAAGAAAAGGATATAAATAGAACAGTAGAGTAGATGAGCATTGAATGGTGAAAAGAGGGTTACTGTTTAATGGCAATGTTTAGAGCAAACATATGTACTGAAAATAATGAGCCCGTATAAAGGGAGAAAATTCATATGGCTAATTCATATAAGTTTAAACACTTGTAAAGTTATCTTTGTTCAACTAACTCCCCTGAAGTTGCCCCAGACCTTATTGAAGCTGGTGTGACACATCTTAACTGAGAGACAGCCTGCTCAATTTACAAAGCCACATTTCTATTTGTGGACGTCACATAAGGCTTAACATCATAAACAGGCTATCTCTTAGTCTTTTCTTTGTTTGAAGCCAATAGCCCATTTAGATATGCTCTTACAACCCATGACATAAATAATCATCAAAACATTATGGCCCCTTTCAACATCAAACTTTGGAGAATTTAAAAAATAGAAAAATTTATTAAAGTTAAGACAATTTTAATTGCTGGGCAAGGTCCTTCATGAAATAAACAAATGTTGAAATCAATTCTTTCAGTTCTCTAGGTGTAGTACAAGCTGTTTTTTGATGGTTAAGATTTATTTGTTCAGTAAGTATTTATTGAACATAGATTTCTAAAGAGTCATGAAAGGGAAGACAATAGCTAATAAATGTAATGCTAAAAAATGTCTGTAGAATCCATTATGCTCTGTGTCAAGCTTAGTTTAGGATGTGTAACATTAAAAAGATAGAAGTATATTTGACTCTTACATAAAGGGAAGTAGACAGCTGATGTGATGACTCCATAAAATCTTCAGGGCCCCAGGCTCTTTCCATGTCATTACTCTCCTACCCTCAGGGTGTGGCACTGGTACTCGTGGGTGAAGTAGGATGCGGGAGTTCCAGCTTTTACATTTGTGTTCAAAGTAGCAGATGATAGAAAGGGGAAAAATAAAGAAGTTCCCTGTCCCTTTTAAGGGAAGTTCACAAAAGTTCTTTTCAACATTTCTGCATATATTTCACTGGCCAGAGCTTAGACCCATGGTCATAGCTAGCTGGACTAATAACCTAGTTGAATGGCTGTAATGCCTAGCTAAAAAAAAAAAAAAAAAAAAAAAAAAAAAAAAAAAATTAGAATTCTAGTTCTGTTACTAAGGAAAATAGGTGTTAGTTTTATTAGGAGGTAAATAGCAATTTCCACCATATTTAAAGTCTTCAAAGCTCTTCCTGCCTGATAGGGAGACTGGAACAAGAAGCAAAGTAGGCGCTAGGTGAATTTAGAATGGAAATTAGGATAGCCAAGTGCTCATATTCAAAAGGAGGCTCATCTTTTCTAAATCAGTTGCCTGGGAAATCCTAAGCAAAAATAACAAAGCTGGAGGCATCACGCTACCCAAATTCAAACTGTACTACAAGGCTACAGTAACCAAAACAGCTTGGTACTGGTATAAAAACAGACACACAGACCAATGAAACAGAATGGAGAGCCCAGAAATAAAGCCACACACCTACAACCATCTGATCTTCGACAAAGCTGACAAAACAAGCAGGAGGAAAGGACTCCTTATTTAATAAATGGTGTTGGGAAAAGTGGCTGGCCATGTGCAGAAGATTGAAACTGGGGGGTGGGACCCCTCCTTACACCATATATAAAAATTAACTCAAGAAAGATTAAAGACTTAAATGTAAAACTCAAAACTCTCAAAACCCTGGAAGACAACGTAGGCAATGCCATTCTGGACATAGAAAAAAGCAGTGATTTCATGATGAAGATGCCGAAAGCAATTGCAACAAAAGCAAAAATTGACAAATAAGATTTAATTGAACTAATCTTCTGTACAGCAAGAGAAACATCAACAGAGTAAACAAACACTCCACAGAATGAAAGAACATTTTCAAAAACTATGTACCTGACAAATGTCTAATATCCAGCATCTGAGAGGAACTTAAACAAATTTACAAGAAAAAAAAACATTAAAAAGTGGGCAAAGGACATGAACACTTTAAAAGAAGACATACATGTGACCAACAAGCATATAAGAAAAACTCAACATCAGTGATCATTGGAGAAATGCAAATCAAAACCACAGTTAGATACCATCCCACACCATTCCGTATGGCTATTACTAAAAAGTCAAAAACATAGCAGATGTTTGTGAGGTTGCAGAAAAAAGGAATGCTTATATGCAGTTGATAGGAGTGTAAATTCGTTCAACCATTGTGGAATGCAGTGTGGTGATTTCTCAAAGAGCTAAAAACGGAACTACCAGTCAACCCAGCAATCTCATTACTGGGTATATTCCCAAAGCAATATAAATCATTCTCTCATAAAGACACATGCACGTGAATGTTTATTGCAGCACTATTCACAATAGCAAAGACATAGAATCAACCTAAATGTCCATCAATAGTAGACTGGATAAAGAATATGTGGTACATATACACCATGGAATACTATGCAGCCATAAAAAAGAATGAGATCATGTTCTTTGCAGGAACATGGATGGAGCTGGAGGTCATTATCCTTAGCAAACTAAGGAATTCCAAATACCACATGTTCTCACTTATAAGCAGGAGCTAAATGATAAGAACACATGGACACATAGAGGGGAACAACACATACAGGGGACCACTGAAAGGTGGAGGGTGGGAGGAGGGAGAAGATCAGAAAAAGTAACTAATAGGTACTAGGCATAATACCTGAGTGACAAAATAATCTGTACAATAACCCCCCCGTCACAGGTTTACCTATATAACAAACCTGCACATGTACCCCTGAATTTAAAATAAAAGTTAAAAAAATCAGTTGCCTGGGAAGTAGTAGTAATTAATCATTGTGATTATTTATCATCTTTGCTCTGTTTACAGAATTTCAATATGTTACTGGAAGCAATAGAAAATAGCCTTAAATGTGGAAGGTGTAATCTTGATGTCCTCAGTGGTCCCGTGCTTGAAGGGTTAAATAGCAATGTTTAGAAACTCCTGAATGGCGGCTGTCAAAGAGAGAAAGTATCTGAACAGGAGTCAAATTTTCACACACGCCAATTTTCACTGGCACATCAGCTGGATACCCTGCAACCAATTCCCTGTTAAATTAACAACAAAATCATAGCTGCACCTACCCTTCATCAGCAATTTCCTTTGGGAATTATCCAAGGTCAGTGCTCTTCCATCTTGCTACTTCATGACAGGAGTCAGCATTTTGCCATCAACCTCCAGATGGTGATTTTCAGGACCTTGGCAAACTGCCTTTCAAAGGTTGTGAACCCTATTGAGAATAATTATCTAGATATTGAACGGTATTTTTCACTCTTTATGGTTAAAGTAATTGGGAGCGATGTGGCTATGTTGGCAGAGCATTTGGCTTGCCAGTTTCCCTTTTTTGAAAACTACAAGTGGAAAAATGATATAAGCCCACTCATCTGCTGTAACATTCAGAAGAACAGTTATTACACAGCACTAGAACCTGAATTGGGGCCCTAAGTTCAAGAAGAGGAGAAACCAAAATGCATCCCCAGAGTGAGAAAGTAGCTATTTATTAGAGGTATGTGGCACCTGCAGGAGGAGAAATGCTGATACATTGCAGGTGACACTGGCCACACTGTGGTGTCAGCGATGTCACATCAGTAGGTCAGACAGGACTTCCACAGTAACCAACAAGGGCTGTGACATGGCTGGCACAAAGCCAGATGAAAACCAAATCCCATCTTGTAGCAACATAAAACCACTTTATTTCACTATGAACCTCACTCACTTGGACATCTCATGACACATTTGACAAAATGCTCTGTTCATTTTAGGAAGTCATCCACATTTCTGATGGTTTCCCTGGCATCTTTCTATGGCCAATAATAAAAATAGCAATGGCTAACTCGTAGTGAGCTTTTACTATGTGCCAAGCACTATGCTAAATTTATATTCATTTTATCTCACATAATAATGACTATTGGCCAAACACTATCCAGTCCTGTCTACTCTCCTTCTAATAGAATCTTGAGTGCAAAAGTCCAGATAAAGACTATTACCTTTATAACCTCTATCTGTTTATTTAAGAGGAACAAAAATCAATATCAATGTAATCAACCATAACGTAGCCAAGGAGCAATTTTAGAAAGAGACATTTCTAAAATATCAGAATTTCATAATATTCTGGTTTATTTTTGGATGATACATTATTCAGGATGGTAAAATTTTCAGGTTTTTTTTTCTTACAGACTTAAATAAATCTTCTACATCCCTGGACTTCAGCTTAAAATACAGAAATGATTCTTAAATCTTAAAGCTCTGGTCATCTGAGTTGTTTCTCTTTTAATAATCTTTTCTTCAAAGGCAATTCCTGCTCAGTGGGAAAATTCACAGCTCCTAAGTATTTATGTACCAAGGTTTCTGTTCAAAGAATATTTAAAAGCTATTGACCAGATCACTGATTTCAATGGCAAGCTATAATCATTTGCAGATAGTAAGAAAAGAAACACGTAATAACAAGGGAATAATATGAACTATGTCTAAATGACCACATTTTGTATCTTATACGTGTTAAGCTTCAACAAAATTGGTAAAATACTTGTTATTTGTAGTCAGCCTGACCTGGGTTAAAAATCCTGTTTTGCCTTTTATCATTGGAGCAACCCTGTGTAAATTACTCCATTTATCTAAGTTTTATTGTCCCTCTAAATATCATTACTACATTGTGGGTGGTTTAGAAATAATGCATGTAGAGCATAGCAGGTATTTGATAAATGATAGCAAGTATTACTATCTTTCTAGTTTTAAAATGAATTAAATGATATAAAGAGTAAATCTTAAATGAACGTGTAGAATAAAAAGTAAACCCTTTTTAAAAAGAATTCATATTTTAAGTCCTTTAATACTGCCTATTAATGTTCTCTTTTGGAATAAAAAATGAGTTATTAGATGTGAGTTTACCAGAAGCAAATAGTTTTTAATTCAAGCACAATAGTATTAGGCTATGTCTGATATTCTCTCAAGCTATCAGGAGAGGTAAAATTGAATGAAAGGAAGCCAGGAGACCCAAGTGCTTAACTCTGCTGTGACACTTATTCTGAAATCTTGGGCTACATTTCCTAAGACCTTGATGATCTTAATGTAAACACGAGTGGTTGAATTAGATGATCTGGATGGCTTTTTCTTGTCCTTGCATTCAAAAATCATGTGCTCAATATGATGTATAAAATTCCACCAGCAGAAAGTAATTTATTTGGCTGTAGACATTGACAGGCAACATGGTAAAAGGAAAGAACACACACAGTTTGCAGTTAGACTTAGCTGAGTTCCAATCCAGCTTCACTTTCCAGTTATGTGACCTTTAGCAAGTTACTCACCTTCTCCAAGGCTGTTTTCTCACTTGCAAAATGTCGATAATAATGGCTACCTGCTGAGAATGTTATGAAGATTAGAGATGGTGTAAGTATTCAATAACTGAGCGGGCATTCAATCAATCATAGTTAATGTTTTCCAGAGTCCTCCAATAAAATGCAAATTTATCAAGAAGGATTATTTTGGGGGATTTTCCTGGTTGCCAGGAATGGAGAACCACTCAAAACTCAATTAAATAAATGAGAAATATAAAGCATTAGTGTTAATAAGGTTACACAGCATTTCATGAATCTCAAGACTGAGAGTCTATGGAACTGGAAATTGAAAAGGATGTAAAGTCTCTCCCTCTCACTATCTCTCTGCCCATAAGATGTGTCCCTTTCTATCAGTGCCTTTGATTCCTTCTCTCTCTTTTCTTTTCTCATTTCACCCCTAATGTCCCCAGCTCCCTGAACTCCTTTCTGTCTCTCTTCTGCCCACAGAGGGTCCTTTATTGACTAACTTCTATTTCACTCCCAGTTGTGGGATACCAGTACATCCAGAGCGCAGGGCCATGCAGTTCACCATCTATTTCATAGGGTTAGACTGTAGGAAGACCCTGGGATGAATACATAGGAGAGGATAGTACCCCGACATAAAACCAGTACAAAAGGTCACACAAAATGCTTGTTACCCCCATAATACTAATTTTCTGACAATAAGGTATATAGACTTGGAGTCAGGGTTGGATACAGCTTTTGTGAGTACCGAAGATTATATAATTTTAAGAACCCTCTTTTAGACCAAAAAATAAATAAATAAGGGGATTGTTTTAACCCATTTTGTGCTGCTACAACAGAATATCACAGACTGGGTAATGAGTAAAGAACAGAAATTTATTTCCCTCAGTTCTGGATGCTGGGAAGCCCAATATCAAGGTGCCTGCAGATTTATTTGTCTGGTGAAGGCTGCATCCTCTGAAGGGCAGCAATTCTGTGTCTTCACATGGCAGAAGGCAGAAGGGCAAGCTAGCCAAATGCTGCATGCAGCCTCTTTTATAAGGATCTTAGTCCCATTCACAATGGAACAGGTCTCATGGCTTAATCACCTCTTAAAGGCCTCCTCTTTTAATGCTATCACATTGGCCTGAATGTTGAAGGTGACACATTCAAAAGATAGCAGGTATGAATACAGAATTACATAGAAGAGTGAATATTTGCTTGAAATTAGAAAAGAAAGTACAACAAATTACACATTTTAAGAAGGTTGAATGTAGCACAAATGTCACAAAAGCCAGAAAATACTTTCTGTGAATTAATTAACACACATCTATAATACTTTTTTCCTACATTTTCAGGCTGTATACTTAGTGCTCACCACTTTGTGTAACAATAATATTAATAATGTTTTCTATAGAGAGAATAGAAAAATAACTATCTTTAGCATAGTTGATCAAAATTTATTTTTGTCTAATTGTCAAAATGTATTTTGTCTAATTGATAGTTGAGGTACAAAACACAAGCATTTTCACCATGTGTAGTACTATTACAGGTTTATTTTCTAAAAAGATAGGAACTCTGATCAATTCTATTTTATGATTTCATAAAACTTGCATAATGCAGCAAACCCTGCTTTATCAATTCTATGACTATCAGGAGAGAACTTCTTTTTTGGTTTAACATCAATTAGAACTGAACCTTTTGTTTACCAGTTTACAAATATGATGTTTGGAAGAATTTTCCACAAACCAGCTGTTGGCTAGTCTAAGAAATCTAGATACTTCCAATGCCAGGTGATTTATAATACACTTATATAACAATACAAATTTTAGCATTTGTACCTTTGTGTCAGGTGCAGGGAGGGTGGTAAGTGTCAGTCTGGAAAAATTCATACACTAGGACAACTATAACAATAATAACTATTCATGGAAATGACTGCGAGTCACTTAAATGTCGCCCACAAAACTCAAGCTAAATGTATACCCAACTTTCCCCCTTAGTCAGATCCCAAAACACTCAAACACTCTCTGTCCATAGGGGAAATAAGGAGCAAAAGTTGAAGTGAAAAACAATAGCAATACTAACCTACAGTAGTTGTAATATCTTACTTTGGAGAATTAAACAAGTATGTATATGCACGGTGAGCACATTGCTAGACTCCTGGGGGCACTTAAGCTTACGATTTATCAACTTCATTGTACATCTGCCTCTGGTTGGGGTGCATGACAGATTATGATAGGTCAATCACTTAAGATGCTGTTGAGGGATGACAAGCAAGGCTGAAGTAGAGGGACATTGTTTCTGAGAGTTCAGCTTGAGGGCTCTGGGTGGTCAAGGAATGAAGACTACAGGAGAACTACTGATAAGGTAGGCGAAGTGACAGCAATGACCAACTTCACCTGTTAAGAGAGTTTGCCCACAGATAATTCTCCATTTGCTAGCCTTTCCTGGGTACCTCCTCTGCTTCAGCAAGAAACTAGCTAGCCTGCAGTCAGAACTGGAGCTTCATTAAGCAAGATGATACAAGAGGTTTTTTCAGGTAAAAAAGGTAAAAAAGCTTCATTAAGCAAGATGATACAAGAGGTTTTTTCAAGTACAAGAGACACCAATAATATGATTGTCAGAAAGGGAAAAACAAAAGTGACAACTCAAAGAGCAGAAAGACACTTTTTGAATTTTCATAATAGTTGTTAAAATCAGTGACAAGTAAAAGAAAATGGAAGACAAAAAAGAAATACCTTCAATAGCTTTCTTTGAAATGCTGTTGTATACAATGCAATGAAACATAACTCAATCAGGTGACAAGTATACTCAGACCATAAATTACAAACCTTCTAGGTAAGCTCATTAGAAACTGATAGGTGTGCATGAGAAGAGCTGAACGAGTAGAAAATTAACAGAATGTAATTGTATTATGTACAAATAGGTCAGCTAAATACCATTAAATGAGTGATTTTGTCAATAATGAACTTTCTAGAAAAATATTTACACACATGTCTAATATGGATGGATGGTGAAGGTAAAACTAAATATCATCTTACAAACTAACTAAAAATGTTATTACATAAGCCTTTGAGTAATTATAAAATGTATTATGTATTCACTTTTTACTATTTCCAGGACCACATTAATGTTTCTTGTACACATCATATAATCATATAATTTTCATAGATGTCTTGTGAGACAGGCATTTGTATTTCTTCCCCTTCCCAACCCTTTTCCCAATTATCTTTCCTACTAATGTTTTATAGCTGAATTAAAATATTTCACCACCCCAAATAAATAAATTTAATACCCTCCCAACCTGCTTAAGACATGCTGGTCTTTTTTCATAGCACATATCATAATGTGCAACTATGCACTAATTTTTTTGTTTATAGGTTTAATTTCTGTCTTCCTCTCTACCATGTAAACTCCATAAGGGTAGAGAGTCCTGTTTTGTTTACCCAGTAGGCTCTATATACACAGATTGGTTAAATAAATAAATAATGAGAAAACTGAATCTTAGAAAAGTTAATTAAGGCCATAAGTAAGTGGCAAAACATCATCAAATCAAATTCTCTGTGTATTCAAAGCCCTTGAAATTAACCACCATGTTACCCTGTCCGTGCTACCAAGGCTGCATAATTTCCAGGGCCCACCACACAATAAAACCGTGAGCTCCTGTTCAAAAAGCAAGGAAAATGTGCCATTAAAGTTATTAAAATATAAATCTTTTTTCCTTTCTTCCACAGTTTTCTCTTGACTTGTGATATTTTTATTTGCTATTTACTGTGGTTCTAAGTAAAGAAAACAAAACTTCAAATTATTACCATGAATTTTACCACTTATCTTTATGTTGTGTAATACCAGCTTTAAATGCAAATATGAGTATTTAATTTGTATGCAGAATCACCAAAATTGCACAATTCTTATTTCATAACTTGGATATGCATATGTATTTTGTTCTTACCAGAACAGTAGAAACACTGCATAGAACTAACTCAATTGTTTTTATGTCACTTCTTAATTATGCACACATTAGATGAACATTTTCTACCTTCAGCTTGCTGGTGAACAAGGAAGGATTGAAAGAAAAAGAGGCTGAGGGTTGTTTTATCTTTCTCCTCTCCTCTATGTCGTCATTTCAGCTAAGTATTTGGTTAAGAAAGGAAAGTAACAGGAGTAAGAAAACATGTGTTAAGGGTACCTTGGTTGTTCATGTTTCTTTGAATGCCAGACCTTCTTTATATGTTTGAAGCTAATTCTAGTTCAAGAAGAAAGTGTGGCTTTTCAGGGCTGTCAGCTCCCCCACTTACTCCAGGCAGATGTGACACTCTTACCTAGCACTGGCTTGGAATCTTACTGAACTCTTACATACCATGGGTTCTCCAGAATTCTGTGCTCATTTGACATTGTAATTGCAAATGGGGCACCAAGGAATGGTTTCCATGCATGGTGTGCATTATTCCTGAGTTTGTGCCCATACTCCATTGTCCCATTGCATTTCACTTGCAAAACACAAGCTCAAAGATAAAATTAAGAATTTCCAGACAGCAACAGCAGACCATTAAACCAAGCATGAGGCCTTTATGAGCTTACACACCCAGGAAGCTGGCCCTGTATACATTCACAGTCTAATGCATCTTACTGCTTTGTGTCTAGTGACACTATATCCAAACTCCCACAGTAATGAGTCATATTTTACCAAGATAAAGATACTTGATTTCAGTACACTATGAGGACAATGAAGGATGACAAGTAGTTCCCAAGACGCTTTTCAAACTTTTATTGTAACTGGCAAAGGAGGCACATACATATGTTTGCACACCAGGAACAAGGAATTATTTTTATTTGCAGACATTTATAATTGCTTTGCCATTGATTGAGGTATTAAATATTCAAATCTGTGCAGGGAGCAGGTAATTTAGTGCAGCTATATTTTCTCCCCCACTTCATTATTGAAATTGAACAAAAGTTGAATTATACAATCATATAGCTGCAAATATTTTAGCCAGGAGAAGAACCTTGTACTCTTCAGCCTGTTTTGAAGAATGAGACAATCAAACAAGGTCAATATCTTCACTGTCCTTTGAGTCTGGGTTCATTTTCCATTTTTTCCCCAGTTTCTCCTGACATAATCCCAGTTCAGAAAGCATATGTTCTAGCAATTATACTAAAGTTTATCTTATTTACCATCACAGTTTGGAATTGTCCTGGCCTAAGGAGCCAATCTAAGGTTGGTACTTAGATTGTATAAAAAAAAATTAAACAAGTTTTTAGGTCTGTTTGACAGATGAGAAAACCTAGTCTTATAAACGTTGAGGAACTCACATAGCTAATCAATGGCAGCATTATAATTTGCACCCAGGGCTGGCAAAGCATGCATTCATACCCAATTCATTCTCGATAAGCTCACTAAAGCCAAAGATAATGTCTGTATGCTTTGACCAAACTAGAACTATTATATCTTTTTTATAATTTTCATTAGTCATTTAGCTCCAGTATATTCGTATGCCCTTGATTATACATTTTTATTCTGTATACATTGTTTCTTATATATTTTCTACTTTTCTTCCACAATTTATTTGGTGATATAAAATATACAAGTGTATTTTCTTAAATTACATTACAATTAGAACTATGCATATGACACAAAAATACGAAATGTAGATGATATATATTTTATATACATTTGTTACATAATATAAACATGATTAAATAAAAGATGACAAATTAGATTTATGAATTGTGTGAGAGATGTCATATCTCACATAAAGACACTGAATTTAGCATTTGATCAAAAATTCAAAGATACAGATTTCATCAGTACAGTCCTTATACACATTTAAATTTCTGAGTGTATATTTTGCATTCTATGTAATATTTATTATTTATTCAGTAAAACCAAAGATTAGTATATGCAAAGCAATGAATTCAACATTGTATTTGCAATGACTTGCATTCCCTTTACAAAGATGCTTAAAGCAGTTTAACATCTGATAGCTATGAAGATGAACTTTTTCAAACTTAAGAAATTCTAGAGGCCCACGTTGAAAGATAATATATTCCCTTATGAAAACAAGTAGAACTAAATAGGCGATGGAGAATGTTAAGCTAGAAAGGGGACCCAGAGGGCTCCCTACATTGAATCACATGAGGATATACCCGTTCTTGTAATTGAAGACTTGACATTAATTATTTGTATTTCTTTATGAACAAGTAAAAGGCTTTAAATAGTTTTTGTAATTTATAGAAGTTCTGTTCAGGTTTAGTTGATAAAATATTCTGGTTCTATTCCTTGAGATTTCAGTTTCTGAGCAACAGCAGTTCAAAAATGATTTGTAAGATTGAGTTTATTTTTTATTTTAATGTAAGGGTTCACCAAAGTCCATATTTATAGTTAGAATCATAATTTATTTAAATACTGGGTGATAATCAGGCAAGTCAATAAATGAACAAATCAAAATACACAGGCTAAAGTGAGTAGTAAAAGAGCTTATTGTGTAACAAAGACTAAATAATTTAAAGCAAAATTAAGGTGAGTACTATGCTTCATTCAATAGTTGATGTCTCAGGTGCTTCCTTCCAATTTAAAAGATGAAGAGGAGCTGACTTGATCGGTCCTAGCTGATGTTCCTTGTCCTACCTTCTGTCAATATGAACCACAAAAGCACTGAAATAAGAAAGCTTTTTTTTTTTTTTTGTCGTGGTACGTCTAATTCTTACATGTATCTGAAGAGTCTATTTAATTCATAAAACTTCTATTTTGTGGGTTTTCTTTGAATTTTGGATATCTGAATTTTTTTTTTTTTTTTTTTTTTTTTTTTTTTTTTTTTTTTGAGATGGGGTCTTGCTCTTTCACCCAGGCTGGAGTGCAGTGGCGTGATCTTGGCTCACTGCAACCTCTGCCTCCCCAGTTCAAGTGATTCTCCTGCCTCAGCTTCCCAAGTAGCTGGGATTATAGGTGCCCGCTACCACGCCCATTTTTTTTTTTCTCCAGTAGAGGCAGGGTTTCACCATGTTGCCTTGGCTGATCTTGAACTCCTGACCTCAGGTGATCCACCTGCCTTGGCCTCCCAAAGTGCTGGGATTATAGGCATGATCCACTGCGCCTGGCCTGAAATGTGCTTTTTGATTTAGTTTTGTAGTGTAAGAGGAATACAAATGAATAAAAGACTAATAGATAAGGAGAACAGACAAATGTCCATAATGAAAAGTGCAAAACATGTCCATCTAAGAGAATAAATTTTATTTGGTTTTAAAATAGAAGGAAACGAAAAGAAATAGTAATCTTAAATTAGAAGTTCAAAAATCAGCTACAGGTTTCTGAAGTGATGGCTCAGCCTAAATTTTCTGAACAAATGTGTAACCTATCCCGATTTCCTTCTTGAAAGACTTATTTTCATCTGCAAGGTCCAGAATGCCTGGGTACGATTTAAGCTCTGCCATTAATAAGCATGCACAACACCTGTAGATGTAGTCTTATTTATAAATAGGATCATAAGACTGCATATCAGCTCTTTTAAAAATGTGAGGTCATGCCCACGTAGCCCTTGTCACCTCTCCTGTGATTATCCCTGCAAGAATTTAGCCTTGCTAAGCCTCCTTTCCCTTACCTGTAATAAAGGTGTAATATTAATAGCCACCTCATTGTGAGGTTACGAACTTATTATAAATGTATTTTTCCATATAAGGTTCTTAGCATAGTGTCCAATAAATGTTATTTATTGTTTAGCCAAGGAGGACTAAAGCTCAGCCCTTTATAAGAGAAGCTCCTAGGAAGTCCATGAACCTTCATGCACCAACTCAGCCTCCAAGAGCAGAGTCTGCCTGGATCTGAATAGGACACTTTGGTGTAATAATCTCCATCACGAACTGGGAAGTAGGAAGTGAATATTCGTATCTCCACATTCCACACATAGGAAACCATCTTAAATAAGCTAGATTATTGAGTACAATGTCACATGGCTAGCAGGAGACAGAGCTGAACTTGACCACAGGTCTTCTGATTTCATGTCTTGCCAAATGAGAAAAACTCACAGTCATGTTCCTTCAAATAAAATGTCATCAACTGTGAAACAGTAGGAAAGAGCTACTCTAGTGTTCAGCAATCAGTAGCAGTAGGCTACTTTTCTTAGCAAAATTCAAGCAGGGCATAAATCTGGGCAAATATGACATCAGAGGTGGACATGAATAGTGACAAGTGCCTCCACGTAAAACCGCCACTCAAATGATCCTGTTATCTTTTGCTAATCTGCAATTTAGTTGTATCAGATTTTTCCTGAAACAAACTAAAGTAACAACTGGGACTTGTAGATCTCACTGTCATTGAGAGGATTTGCTGTCATATTAGTTATGTGAGTTAGTCTTAAATGTGAGGGTATGGATTTTGGAAATTCTGGATTGTTTTGACATACTAGTCTTGTTTTGGTTTGGCTTAATTTTTCTGGAATATCAGAAGCAAATTCAGATATAGCAGATACAAACAAGCTCAGTAATAATATTGGCTTTGTGATAAACATTTTTCTCTTTGCAATAATTTATTCAAGAAGGGCTAATGAGTAAAGAAATATTTTGCTCACTGGAGGATACCATATCTTTTACAGTGCCCAGTTGAGCACATCAATTATTATTTAATCTCTAATGATAATCGATATACAATTAATATAAGAAAATCAAACATTTGCTATATAATTCAGTTCTACAGTGCCTCAGTCTCCCTTAAGAAGCTCGCTTATTTTCTTCCTAAAGTAAACATCTTTTTATGTGCTTCCATTGAGAATGCTACTAAGATGTTCAATCATTGGAAATTTTAATTTCCCAGCTAAAGTTGGTGAGATAAACCTTTCTTTAGATAAGTAAGTTTTGACAAAAAAAAATAAATTACTGCTTCTATCTGATTGTGCAAGTAAAAAATAAGTTGGTTGTATAGAACACAATGAAACTAACATATAAAAAGCATTCAACTATAATTTGTAGATTACTTTGTATGAATGAGCATTGCAGAATGAGCCAATATTGTGTTTGCAAATATCTCTCCACAGAAACAACAAATCTTTGCACTTTTTTCAGCAGTGTATATTAATTTAGAATAATAAAACATCAGCACTATTCAGATATCTGCTCTTTCTATGTCATATTCTTTGCTCACATTTAATATTTATGTCATTTACCTTCCCCTGGGGTGACAATGGCATAATGAAATAGAACATAAAATTAGAAAATCTCTTTACGGTAGCATTCCTATCCTTTGGGAGTCAAGACATCCTTCTTTTCTTGTTTTCATTTTATAACATGCAGCCATTCCTAATTAGAGAACAGAACACCATATATATATGACAAGTGCCTCCACATAAACCCTCCATTCAAATGATCCTGTTATCTTTTGCTAATCTGAAATTTAGTTGTATCGGGTATATATATATATATAATACCCACACACACTTTTCAAGTTAATTAAATAAAATTTAAATCACAGAATAACTTGTTGAAATACTAAATATACTGGGATATCAGAAATTAGTGATTGAGAATCAAGCACTTACATTCTAAAGATAGTGTAGACCAAATACCCCACGTATACCTCTCACTCATTTCTCTGACTTCCCTTGGCATTCACCTTCATTAGAGAAAGAGTACAGCCTTTGCCGATCAAAGTTGATTACAGAGACTCTTGGCTGGTAAAGGCAGTTACTTTGGATGACTCACATCTTTCTGCTTGCACATGGCAGGGATTTGGCACAGTTTTTACAGTAAGACTGTTTCTGTCATCCCCAAGATTTTTCTTTTTCTTTTTAGAAATGTTAAGATTAATTCCGAAAAAAAAATATGATAGTTGTGTAACCATGTAAGGTAAGTCATTGCTCAAGGGTAGTCCTGCCCTTCTAATACTACTTAGGCTTTAAATATCCAATTTATGAAAGAATAAGAAATATTGCTACACTAACCTATTTACTTCATGTTAATAACAACTTCTGGGTGTTCTTCTTATCTGCATCCATTACTCCATGATAATGAGATGCTCCTGCTCTCAGAAGATATTACATCTGAAGGGTGGATGTTCCGTATATAAAGGCACAAACACAGCTAAAACAAAATCATTACATTTATTTTCAAAGTCATTATGTTAGGACCCCAGAATTACTGTTACTGCAAAATTATGTTGGTTTTTGAGCAAGAAAATTGAGAAATTATTCAACCTAGCCATCCCACTACTGAACAGTACATCACACATATCATGAGAAAGATAAAGATCTTAAAGTTAACACATCACCACAGTTCTACATCCTTTTTAATTGATGGTATTATGTTTGAGTAGGTATAGAGTGACAACACTTTATAGGACTCAAAATATTTTCTGACTTGATATTAAAGCCAACATGCAGCTTCCCATGTGAGTTCTCTACTCTTTCCTGAAAACCAGCTGTAGACTTGTTTGACTTGTTTCATTAATTACAAATGAGGGAGTTTAACTTGTATCAGTACCTAAACAATCAAGTTAAAATGACAATTACTTCTTTTTTTAATGTGAAATTTTTGTTCACGCTCACTCAGACAAATAATTAGCTAAGAGAGTTTTTACTTTTTTACTCGGTAAGGCTAAGCCAAATTCCACTTAAGATTATCATATTTCTAGGCTAGCAAAAGCTCATAATTACCTAGTTCACTCTTGTGTCAAATCTTCCATAATCTTTTGGGATGTTTCAATAAGAAAGCCTCACTAAGGTAAAGGAAAAACTTTTTTCCACATTTTATTCCTTCTAAACTGTAAAATAATTAGCAATATACTATGTATAAGCAGTAAATCAAAAAAATGAATAAAATTAGAAAGTTATATAAAAATTGCTTTTTCTGATTTTATTTCATAGAGTTTAATTTAAGAAAAAAAATGGCCACTTATGACTTTCCTACATTAATCTGTTTATTAGGTTCTTTGCTCTCTTCTCCACACAGAGGGAGGTTTATAAATGCATATTGACATGCCCACTGTAGGCTTGTGCGGAAAGGAGAATTAATCCTCCATTGTGTAGCAGTCAACTCCTATTTAGTGGTTTGTCTGCTAAGATCAATACAGGGTCTCTAAGGCATAATGGCTGGCTCCTTTCACTCTTGCTAGACAAACAAATACCCCTTTTAAAAAAGTCAGTTCACGAAGAAGAAAAATAAAAGCTTTTTCTAGGCATAACCAGCCCTGGCTAAAACTTTTCAATAGCCTCAAGTTTGGATTTCAGTGCCCCAGTCTTCATTTCTAGGCCCTTTTCCCTTCTTTAAATGTGACTGCTCTTCAGTCTCTCCCAATTAAAACCTGTCTTCAAGAAATAATTTGATATACATATTTAATCCCAAAGAGATGCCTGTATGAATTCAAAGTCTTAATATGCTACAATTCTCAGGAATACAGCAGTCCCCCATTATCTGAGGGAGATATGCTCCAAGATCCCCGGTGGATGCCTCAAACCAAGGATGGTACTGAACTCAATATTTTTTTTCTATACATATATATCTATGATAAAGTTTAATTTATAAGTTGAGCACAGTAAAATATTAATGACAGTAATTAATAATGAAATAGAAAAATTATAACTATATGTTGTAGCAAACATGGTTTTTCTCCCTCGTAATATCTCATTATACTCTACTCTTCTTCCTCAAGCAATGATGTGAGATGATAAAATACCTACATCATGAGATGAAATGAGGTGACTAACGTAGGCATTGTGACTTAGCATTAGGCTACTATTGACCTTCTAGCAATCATCAGAAGGAGGATCAAATGCTTCGAGTGATCCTGGATCATGAAACCATGACGATGTCAATGGTTTGATGTCAGGAGCAGACAATGTCAATGACTACTGGGCAGGTAGCATATACAGTGTGGATACGCAGGACAGAAGGTTAATTCATGACTCAGGCAGGACAAGTGGGGCAGGGTGACATTTCATCATTCTATTTAGAAGTGCACGTTCCTTAAAACTTATGAATTGTTTACTTTTGGAATTTTCCATTCAATGTTTTTGAACCACAGTTGACATTGAGTAGCTGGAACTATGGAAAGCAAAACAGTAGATAAGAGAGGATACTGTAACTTTGACAAAGAAAAGACTTCTTAGGCAGAATTAGTCTCTGTGGAATTTATGTAATACATGTAGGCATTTGAGACATGGAGTTGAAAGCAAACCATTTCAGTATCATCATAGACAGCAACTTACTCCACCTACTTGTAAGATTATCCTGCAGCTAGGAGGTGCCTGGACGCCTCTTAAAAACCACATCTCTTCTATTTACTGCTTGGCTAACTTCTTTTTATTCCTCTAGATTCAGTTCAAATCTTGCCTCCTTATGGAAGTACTTCCCAAGTACACTCAATTCCCAAGGAATCCTACCATCATTTCTATTATTGCAGTTATTACTCTCAAATGTTATTTTCTGTTTGTCTCTCTCTCCTAGAGGTCACTAACAGCAAGAACTGCTGCTGTTAATTTGTGCCTTTCCACACTTAGCACAGTGTTTGGAGCATAATACCTTCTCCTTCTCCCCCCTGCACCAATATTACATAAGTGGTAGGCAGCAACCAGGGCAGTCAGCTCATTCTCCCTTTCATCTTCTGTCCACCTGTTGAAGGCAGGCATCCAGTAATGGTGGAGAGAGGCAGTGATAGGAAGGAGGCAGATGAGCTAATAGTCAGAGATGCCTCTTTTCACTTACCCCAAAGATGTATTTACTAAAATCGAGAAGCATGAAATGTTTGAAGAAATACATTTTACAGTACCAATGTTTTGTTGAGTGGTTTCAAACTCTTCTAGAAGGAACAGCACAACGCTTAACCTTTCCAAAGTGAGTTGATTACACAATGATTGTTCCTTCAAAGTCAGACTTTGGCCAACTACATACGGCCCACAGGTCAAATGTGGCCCATCTCCTGCTTTTCTACTGCTTACAGGCTTAGAAGAGCTTTTAAATATTTAAATGGTTAGGAAAAAAATCATGTTTCTTGACATGCAAAATTAGTATAAAAATCAAATTTCAGTGTCCCTCCATAAGGTTTTATTGGATTACACTGACTCTTGTTCATTTATGGATTATCTAGGCTTGTTTTTGCATGACAAAAGTAAAGTCGAGTAGCTGTGACAGAGGCAGTGCCGTTCTGCAAAGCCTAAAATGTTTGCCAGTTTGCTTGCCTTTTACCAAAAGAGTGCTCTAAATGGGCATATTAGGAACAGCACAGGCACTCTAAAGACATTATTTACAGCACTTAAAAAAATAATTTAGAAACAATTGAGAGGAGAAAGAGATTCACTTAGGCTTGAAGAGAGTAAGCCATTGGGGCATTCCTCTTTAGGGTGAATAGCAGAGACATAAATGAGATAATTAACAGTTGTTTTCAGGAGGAGTTAGATCCCATAGAGCAGGGAATGTAAACAATAACCTTGGTTGTCTGGAAAGTAGAACAAAATACATCAAAATATTTAGAAAGCTGAGATAATGAGAGTGCAGTTATTTGTTTATTGCTCTAACTTCTTTCCTTCACTGGAAGATCCTTTTGGGGTGGTTCAATAAATTGAACCAAGTGTTCAATTTGTGATCAGCATCAAAGTTTCCAACTCCCTATAGAAACTAGATACGTTTTTGAGGAAGGAAAGAAGGGAGGGAGAAAGAAGAAAGAAAAATATATTTGAGAGGATTATTTGCTTTTAGCTTTTACCATTTACTTTAACTTATTTTTCACTTTTATATGTGGAAGTTCACTAATTTAAGTGCTTTTATCTAACCAGACAATTTTATTTGTATTTATAAAACCACTACCAAATGTTTCAAGGAATGTACTTCTGCTGTTTCAAGTTTTAGCTTTGTTTTCTCATAATGAAATTCAACCACCATTGATCATGTAGTGACTGCTCTTAGAGATTAGTGAAGTAGTGAAAACGCTAATAGGCTTTTACAACTATAAATAAACCATTATCATAACCCCTTATTAGTGGTAGAAACATCAAGTTGTCAAACAAATTCTGTAAGAGTAGTCTAGCTATTCACATTAATGACACCTATAATGGAATCACTATGTTCTTTCTTGTTTTTAATTTAAAGCACACATTGTACATTTCCATTTTATTGCCAAAACCTTCATCTGCAATCTTATAATCTCCTTTAAACACAAGAATATTTTTCTTTATTTAAATTTATAACTAACAGCCAGGCTCCAACATGTTTAGCTATAGACTTTCATTAGCATGATTAAAAAAACGCCAAAATAAAACAACAAGCAAAACAAAAGCTCCTGCAACAAAAAAGACTCATAAGCAGTTGAACCCGGAATAGTATTCATTTTTAAAGGCAACTTGGTTTTACATTTATTCACCTGCCCTTAAAATATGGCTTTAATTTATTACTGATGGCATTTTCAGTGATCTGCTGAAGGATTTAACTCTGAAATGGTTTATTCTAATTAAGAGCCTCTTGCCAATACTTAGTCACCATGAGGCTTGGAAGCCCCAGGGACCAGCTTTCATTACACTTTGTGCCCATTTCATACAAGTAGAACATTTTTCAATCATCAGATCTAATTTACATCTTTATAATGTTCCCTCATCTAACACTTTTTTTCTCACTCTGTCAAAACTGATACTTTGGTTCTTTAGTTTGTTCTCAATTTACAGTGGATTGAAATGCAGTTTTCACAGAAACTAAAAAGCTTCGAGTGTACCCTAGAAGAAGGTCCATCTTACCCTTAGTTTTTAACATAATAAGTCTGATTTGCTCATGATCATTCAAAACACAGAGTGACATGACACAGGAAACTGCTACCCAGAAAGGTCCCATCAGTCTCACTACTGGGTTTCCAATCTGGATAAAATGCAATTTTCTGCTTTTAAGGGGAGGGCTGGAGACAAACAGCAATACAACAGCTCTGCATCTGCTTCATAATGTTTTGGAACCAGGGTGGATCTTTGTAGTGAGCTGTGGTAAGGTAAGCAGAGCACGGCTTTGGGTGAAAAAGCCCTGGGTTCCTGTTTGGTTATGCCTCTTACTAGTGATCCAGATGCCAGCAGACTGCATCTCCCAAGCTGGCTTGTCATCTGGTTTCCTGCCAGTTGTGCCAGTGGAAAGCACTGGCAGGAGATTGGAGAGGGGCTGGGGAAGGAGCCAGTGTATTTCTGCTGTTTCTTTGCATCTTGTAAGGCAGTTGCTCACACTCCTTTATGGCTCTAGAATTTTCTGCGTTGAAAGACTGTTGAAGTTCCAGCCTCCATGACACTCTGCCCTAAAACTGAAAAACTTCCTCCTCCCTTTACCCTGCAGCCTCGTGCTGGTGGCAGCTTCCTGCTGTTGCTAATTCCTGGGTTATCTTATGGGATGAGAACTTTCTTCACTTAGTCCATTCTGTTGTAAACACTTGATGTGATTTTTATTTGCCTACTTAGACCTTGAATACGATCAATACTGTTTTAAAAGTAAGGTACTCTGCTCACAATCCAACCTCACTTCCAGAAAATTAAGTGTAGAGAGGAGCATACGAAGAGAAGTAAGAAAGTATGCATTTAATGTACTTAGAATGTGGGATATATGCTGCATTTAAAAAAAATAGTTTTCTAGTATCAACATATTTTCACATGATTTGTTTCCTCTTTCTCCTTAAAATGAAACCTGATGGAAATAATTTTTATGGAAGTTTCTTTTCAGTTGGTTTATGTTTAAGCAGGTGTACTTTTTGGGTCATCTTTGTTTTTGTCGTGTGTTGTTGATTTTTCTTAACTACATAGAGTAAGAATACAACCACAGGGCATATTCATACAGAATTCTGACCAAGTAGAACTATAGAGGTAGAGTCATGAATTTTTTAAGATCCTCTTCATGTATATATTTTTTCTGGATATACCTTAGTTTGTATAGTTAATAAAAAGAATGACCATTCAATCGGTGCTTTAATCTCCTAAGAAGAGGCAAAATAATCCAAACACAAATCCATAAAGTATACTCATTTAATTTTAGGAGATAACTTTGTCTCACTTTGATTGGAATAGAATCTTTCTTCTAAAACATAACTAATGTAAACATAAGCTCCCGGATTCTCATCAAAAACAAAGTTTGTTTAAGGATATAGAAACTTTCTAGGTTAAATTGAACACTAGAATTTTAGAGGAAGCCTCTGGCTGTCTTTGGGAGGTTAAATCACATTTTCTCTAATCTCATCTCCTTTTATATTTAAACAGCTGTGACTATTTACATGAAGCATCATCACATTAAATTATTTATACTTAAAGAACTTTGGAATCGTTAGCAGGGAAGAAGTCCCTGGTTAGTGACTAAGCAGAGAGGTGCACACATAAGGAGAAACAAGGTGATATGGTTTGGCTGTGTCCCCACCCAAATCTCATCTTGAATTGTAGCTCCCATAATTCCCACATGTTGTGGGAGGGACCCGGTAGGAGATAATTGAATTATGGGGTCAGTTTCCTCCATACTGTTCTCATAGTAGTGAATAAGTCTCAAGAGAGCTGATGATTTTATAAGGGGTTTCCCCTTTCACTTGGCCGTCACTCTCCCTTTGCCAGCTGCCATGTAAGATGTCCCTTTGCTCTTGCTTCATCTTCCTCCATGATTGTGAGTCTTCTCCAGCCAGGTGGAACTGTGAGTCGATTAAATCTCCTTCCTTTATAAATTGTCCAGTCTCAGGTATGTCTTTAGTAGCAGCATAAAAACAGACTAATATACAAGGCAAGCCCATGACCTGGCTGTATGAGTGGTAAGAAATGACCCTCTCATGGTAAACTCCAAGCTGGCCCTGTGCTTCCAACACAGGACAGGAGGAACCCAGGCCCTACCTGGAGTGGTCAGTTGAGTGAGAACACCAGGCCTTTCTGAGTGAGAACACCAGGCCTTTCATAGAACTGCCATCAGATCATGTCAAGTATTTGGGAACAGGAGTAATATGGGCATGGCCAGACCCGCCAGGAGGGATACAACTTGTACTCACAATACCATCATCTCAGTCAGACACTACTGCTGCCAAAAAGGAGCCTAATTCTCTGCCACAATAAAGAGCCAAGTCTTAGCTCCCAGGCACTTAGAATTTTGTGCATTCTTTTCTGTGACACTTAAGGAGTAGATAAATAGGTGGCAAAATTATCAGGCCTTCTTTGGCAGAATTAGAAATAAAATATGTATTAGGTCATTACTGGATAATCCATAGGTAATTTTAAAAGTACAGTCAAAAATAAAATAGGTAAATACAACTTAAAAATGCCATGAGACCTCTAATAGCTAATGGATTTTAGGCTGTGTAAACTCAGATGGGGGAAAAAAATTTCAAATTAAATAGCTGCACTTCTTGTTTTAAGGCTGCCTAACTGACATTCTCCCCTAAGGCTGGCACTGCAGGCATACACCTGGGGACCAGCTTCTCTGTCTTCCCCTGGCAAAGGCACTTGGGAGTCTTTGAATAGATTATAAGCAATGAACAGTTCCAGGGGTGTCAGCAAGTGAGAGTGGTGGCTGGTTATAAGAAAACAGGCTTATCAACAGCACTGTCAAAGTGGCAAGGGATTTGGCTCCTTGGGTGACAGCCTGCAGGGCAGCAGCGGTGACTAGAACCATGCACCGTGGGGAGTTTCATCCAACAGAGTTACCTTTCAAAGGCCAGGAAGAGATGGAAGCAATGGCCGCAGGTAACTAAAGAAAGCCCCCAGAGTGAAAGTAGCCCTGACAGTGTTGAAGATGAAACCTCTTGGGACGGAAAACCAAAACATGCATCTTAGGGAAGCTGGTGCCATCAGCCCAAAGCCAAAGTGATCAGGCATTCACTGGGACTTTGATTTACTTGATGGACTAATTTTTCTTTTTCTGTTGGAAGACAAACATGTCTCCCTCAATATACTCACAAGGTTTAACCAGAGAGGATCTTGTTAAGAAAAATAACTACCACACGATGGAATTTTCAGATAATTGCCAGTGCTCACTATCTAAGATTAGTAGCATCCAAGAGAAGAATAGATGGTTATTGAACAACTCAGCTACTTCACAGGATGATGGTGAGATTTAGAGAACAGAGTCTATATTTATTTGAATTGTTGGATATTTAAAAGGACAAAATCTGCCAAGTTGGAGTTATTTGTATTTTAAAATGATGGCCAAGCTGAGCATGGTGGTGCATGCCTATTGTCCCAGCTACTCTGGAGGCTGAGGCTGAAGGTTCCCTTGAGTCCAGGATTTCTAGACTGTAGTACACTATGACTATACCTGTCAACAGCCACTGCACTCCAGTCTGGGCAACATAGTGAGACCTTGTCTCTTAAAAAAATTAAAATTAAAATCAACAAATTCTGGCCAGATTTATAGATTCATGTTTGTTAAGTATGTGACCATGGAAAACAGGTAGAAACTGGAAAAGTGGCAGGTCTCGCCACTTCTATTTTCATTTCAAATCATCTAGGTTAAAAATGGATTTCTCTGAGTATAAAAAGAGGAAGCATAAACAGTGTAGAACCAGGTTATGCTGGGCATTTTGTCTAAGTATTGGAGAGGAATTTAGAAAAACTGAGGTGGTGACATGGTTTTGGGCCTGGAGAAAAATAAGAAATCTGGTTCAGGAAAAAAAGAGGAAGAGACCTTTATCTCCCCTCACTCCCTGCCATATGTATTGTTTACCATCAGACCTTTCCCTGAAGGATTTATTTAAGCAATAAATATTTATTGGTTCCAATTATTTGCTCAGCACTGGACAAGGTCTGTGCTAGACCTGGGTTTATAACAATGACATGATCTTTGACCTCACTGAACTCATGATCTGGTAAGAGAAGATAGGCCTGTAAAAATCTAATTCTACTCTCTCAGTTGCAAGTAGCATTGAAGGCATAGCAAAGGGAGAGTGGATACTTTTATTGGATAGAGATAAAATTGTCAGGAAGTTTTTAAATAAGAATTGACATTTGAGCTTCATCAATGGAAATTGGAAATTACCCAAAGGATTTATGCAGTAGGAGTGCCAAGAGGAATATTCTGGAAAGAACAGTATTACAAGACATACAGAAATGGAAAGACGTAGTACATTCCAGTAATAGAAAGTTATTTGTTCCAGTGAGACTATGGGGTGTATGTGGGTGAACAGTGGAGGATGAGGTGGCCAAGTCATGAAGAGCTGTGGTTATCATGCTAAAGAGCTTGGCTCTTTCCTGCAGGTGATGGAGAGACACTGAAGGCTTTTATGCAGGAGAATGACATGACCAGACTCACAGATATGTGAGAGTGAAAGGATAGCTCCAGGCAACAAAGACTAGGAACTCAAAGCACAGGAAAATATTTCCGGTGGCTCCACAGCTGGGAAAGCCAGTCCCTAGTGGGTTTTTTTGTTTGTTTTTAATGTGTACCTCTCAGTAATCAGTTGTACATCTATTTTCATAACTTCTTTAAAAATCATAATTTTATAAAATGAGGGAATAAAGTGTTAAAAACATGGCTCTGAAAGGCATATTTTGAACATAAAATATTCTGTAAAGGAGACTATATAGTCTTTTACTGATGACATTCATTTAGGTAAAAAACACTTCATTAGAATGTTAGGTCAAAATCATATGTTCCATTTATAACCTTTAAAGCCTTGCCATAATCATATAATAGGCTAAAAGCAAGAGGAAAAAAATAGGAAACAGGAAAGAATTTGGTTTTTTTAAAAAAGCACAAGCTAAAGAACGCAGTCAGTAAGCCCTGCTGAAATCCCACATTGAGGGTTTACTGTATAAATGTTGAGAATGTTGAGTAGATGTGCTAAAATCATCTTAGTTCTTTCCTTGATTTTTTCTTTTCTATACACAAATCTTAATCCTTTAATTTCATGTAATTTTCACACTAAGGGTCCTAATTAAGGGTTTCTTATTTAAAATTGTGCCTTAGCGATACCTAGCATTAGAGAAAATTACTTATCTTTGTAAAAGAAACACAAAATGCTGTCGGAATTATTTTTGCATCTTTTTGGAAACACCTTGAAAATAGATAATTTATGAAATTTGTGGGGTAGGGGTCAACTATTTCCAGAGGAATAAGATGCCCAAAATACAGCCTAAATATTACATGTGTGCAGGCAAAAGATAAGGAATCGGTACAGGCAATTTACTGGAAATACTTTTCTCGCTCTCAGCTTGTGAAAACCAGCAAAGACCTGGTTTGTTTCCAAACTTTCATTTAGGTTTTTATGCCCCCTAGCGGGTATTTGGTATTTCTGCAATTGTAAAATAATGCTGATATTTTTCAGCAATTCCTTCGTGCATTGTGAGTTCAGACTCTTTATGTTGACAATATTTAACATCGATACTCCCTTAAGTATCTTAAGTATTCAAATGAGAAGTTTTAAACATTATTTGGGCTATAACACTTTGGATAATTTAATAACACCTGTGAAAACACTTTTCATGAAAATGCATATGAAAACATATAGTATCATGGAGTTCCCTGACTCCCTTGAATTTATCCACGCACTCCTTGAAAGTTCATAGACTCCGAGGTAAAAATCTCTAATTAGGGTGTGGAATCCTCTAGCTTCCGCTTTCATTTAGTGGGCGCTAATTAAGATTATTAATGCTGTGAATAGTGGAAACAGTTTTTTTAAAATACACTGTTAAAAGTTAACAGTAGCTCATAATTTGGCTGAAACAAGAAATAACGCAGAATACTTTAAACAACTACATACATTAGCTGATCCAAAAAAAAATGTTCTTGGGCTTTGATCGTATAGTAATTGATCCTCCAGGCAAGAGAGGTGGAGACAAAATCAAGGCAACTTTTTAGGCAAATATCGATTTTAAAATGTCAAAGAGAAATCTGCCTATTGTGAAGTAATACCAGGGCCCCTCTGGCAAACAAGTTCAATACCACAAGCAGGTGTTATGTAACAACACTCAAAAAAAAGGTCATTTGCTATTTGCAAACATTACAGCTACTGTAAAAATCATCCATCAAACTGTGATCCTTCTAGAATACCAAGCTGATGGCAGAAAATCCATGAATAACATAGATACTCAGACCCTAAGGGGTAGAATTACTAGTTACAAAGTGATCCAGCTTCCAGGTCAGAAGAAATTGTTTCTTAGACCTCTCAGACTAACACTCTGGTCAAAGAGAAAAATTCAGTGGATAGGTCAATAATTTAAACGCACATAGACGTACACACATAATCAACTAACGGCTTTCACCGGGGCATTATACACATTACTTACTTTCATCTAACTTTTTAAAGGATACCTGCTTTTCAAATACTTACACTCCAAATACTGATTCATGTCCCATGTGAGTTTCTTTTAATTATTGTAGTAGTTGAAATGCAGCATTTTTTTGAACCAGCAACTGCCCTATACAATGTACAGAATGCTCCTGAACTTCTGTGCACCTGCACAGGATCTGTTCATTCATTCTATTCCTTATACCTAGTAATTCACAATTTTTCCTTGTAAAAAATGAAAAAGATAATGTGAGAGATTGAGTTACAGTAAGCATCAAGGTTTATTTTAAAATCAGAATTTTCTTCCTGTTGTACAAGGATCTCTTCTATCTTCATGATTATTTATCAATTACATGACTTTTGTTTTATCTTTTAGTGTGTGTGGGACATACTTTCAGAGATGGAAAGTCACGCATTAGCTAGGGAGATTTGCCTCATATAACATTTGTACTCTATCAAATGAACATACATTTATACCCATCAAATAAAAAGAGAAAAAATAGAAACTATATGAATAGGACTAGGAAGCTAACAGTATTGTTTGAAGATGGTGTAAGAAAATTCAAGGAAATATTTCTCCATTTGAGATATAAAGACAGCCACATCATGCAACTTCTGAACTAGTCATGCAACTTCTGAAGAAATACTAAACAGGGAAATATTTAGTAAGGTGTCAATAACATTTGGTTTACAATGAATTATGTTTTAAAATTATGCATATTTTCAACCTATCAATATTACTTGATAAATAGGAAGATGGATAGATGGATGAATGGATGCATTGTCTGCCTGAATTAATCAGATTTCATGAGATTTAGTATTAAGTAGAGTGCATGCCAGAATTCAAGAACTTTGCATGAAAATTTTTGATAATATTTGAGACAAATCTTTAATAGCCAAAACTTAAATCTCTTCTGAGGAATTGGTCTTCCACCCAAAATAATCTTCAATATTTGGCAAAATATAAAATTTTAGCCAGTATTTTTGGGAAGTACGCAAATTTAGAATTAACATTTTTATGCAAAAGGCACTTCCATGTTGTACCTTTTTAACCGATATGAGGAAGAAAGGGAGCCATAAACATGAGGTCTGGCAGATGTCCAGGGTGAAAAAGGAGCAGAAGGAAACTGGTGGCTCTACTGACATAGTAAATATAGGAGAAAGAAGGAAAACTTAGAAGCAGGGGAGAGTAGAAAGAGTATGGGGGGCCGGGCACGGTGGCTCACGCTTGTAATCCCAGCACTTTGGGAGGCTGAGGACGGTGGATCACAAAGTCAGGAGATCAAGACCATCCTGGCCAACATGGTGAAACCCCTTCTCTACTAAAAATACAAAAATTAGCTGGGTGTGGTGGCATGTGCCTGTAATCCCAGCTACTCAGAAGGCTGAGGCACGAGAATCGCTTGAACCCAGGAGGCAGAGGTTGCAGTGAGCCGAGATGGCACCACTGCACTCCAGCCTGGCAACAGAGGGAGATTCCGTCTCAAAAAAAAAAAAAAAAGAAAGAAAGAAAAAAGAAAAGAAAAGAGTATAGGGAAAAGTTTCCTTTCAATTAACGATGTTCAAGTTGCTGTGTTATCTAAAATATTTGATAGTTATTCTCTCATGATATATTCTCTTGTTTCGTTCTTCTTCTTTTTTTTTTTTTTTTTAAAAATTTTGAGATGGAGTCTCGCTCTTGTTGCCCAGGCTGGAGTGCAATGGCGCCATCTCGGCTCACTGCAACCTCTGCCTCCTGGGTTCAAGAGATTCTCCTGCCTCAGCCTCCCAAGTAGCTGAGACTGCAGGCATGTGCCACCACACCCGGCTAACATTGTATCTGTAGTAGAGATGGGGTTTCTCCATGTTGGTCAGGCTGGTCTTGAACTCCTGACTCAGATGATCCACCAGCCTCTGCTTCCCAAAGTGCTGGGATTACAGCCGTGAACCATTACACCCAGCCTCCTTCTTATGTTTTTGCGAATTCATTCTTTATTTTCTTAGGCTTTAGGGGCTTCTTGTAGTCTTTTAATCAATCTTATTAAATACAGAAAAAATATATATATGAATATAAACCCCACATTATGTCATGTTTTGGTGTAACTTTTTTTGGGAAATGATTTTTCAACGACTGAGTACATAATATAAAATTCTAAAGAAAAACAGAAAGAATGAAATAAATAATCCTACTGGGCTTAGCATAAATTTACAAATAAGGAGTCAGGAAAAATGAGATATATTTTTTTATATTGAATATAAATAATAAAGTACCAACAGGAAACCAAGTTGCCTAGGATATAAATAATCATTAAAAGGTGGCAGTATTTTAGAAACACTTAAACTTTCAATGATCATTTCACCACGGTGTCACTTCTCAATATAAGCTTTCTATTCTAAGCCTTTCCTCCACGGAATTTCAGAGAGATGTGATTCCTGAGGTGTATAATGCTGTTTTGCTTCTTGCTGTGAGTTTGAATACTAGTTAGAAGATCTTTTGTTAAACAAAGAAAAGCAGCTGGTTTTGCCAGTGAGATATATCCCATCCCTAGCAGATTCTGTGCTCAATTACAAGTTGCAGATAAAAATTACCCATTTCCATTTCTCCAGGTCACTACTAAATGAGAAGAGAGACAAAATGAGTAATGTAAAAACAGACATGAATCATACTATATTTTTTGCTCTTCTCCAACATATTCGAATAGTGAGATATGCTTAAAATATTACAAATATCAACAGCAGTCAACTTTAAACTGATAAAGGGAGCAGGGAGAAGGATAGAAAGAGTAATGTAAATTGTACCAAGGAGTATGAGGAAGAAGGCAGCTGGTGTTCCATGGGAACCAGCCAAGGGCTCAGGCTGTCCTTACATGAGAAATTGCAGGACAGCCTGGACTGTCTTAGCACCCCTGCCTGTTCTACTTCCTTGTATTCTCTTACCATCTCCTCTGCTTTCTCTCACAACAGCAGAGCCTTGGAGACCATCCTAACTGGCTATAACATGGGGAAACTCTGTGTCTCTACCCAAGAGCATAAACGTGAGAGAAGATGTTCCCACTGATGAACACTTTGTGCCCCCTTCCTCTTCTCACCATAATCATTGCAGTCCTGCCCAGTCCTTGCAAATACTCACCTGTGTTTTCTCAGTTGTGAAGGAATGTTGGATTATAAAACAAAGAGATGGTAGAGCTAAAAAATAAATATTTTATTTGGTGTAGATTAGCCTAGCTTTATGACACGAAGCTTATGTATCTGCAACCTCTTTTACCTTATGAATCCTTCTAGACTGTGAATTTGCTGCCTTTCAATAAACTGGTGTATCTCCTTACTTTTCGTAATTTTCTCTAATAATTGCAAGTATGCTGAGCTTGCCTATCCTATGACATAGTGATCCTAGAATACAAAAAGTAAACAGTAAATAATGATTTTTAAAAATCTTTCAAGGGCAAGAGAAACTATATGATGGATTCACTTAGCTAGTTTATATATTTATATTTTAAAAGGCTTATTTTAATTACATGGACTCAGTCCTTGTATTCTTTAGCCATAATAAATAATTGAGTTTTTATTAAAAATCAAATCCCTTTTTTAAAAGCCGTGTGTGTGTGTGCGCGCGTGCGTGTGTGTGTCTGTGTATGTACCTTCTCTGGGGCTTACTGCATAATCAGTGTGAAGGGGAAAAACATTGTGTATAAAATATGACTGGACATTCAATGTGAACTGTGACAGATACATAATTTGGCTCATATGTACACAGCATTGTATAAAAAGGAGTTGACCTTCCAATCCCACTGACATACCTCTACAGTAAGAATATCCCCAAGACTTTTGAAAATCATCTTCTAAATTCCTTTAGCTTTCACTGTTTCTTCACTAACATAACCTTTAGATTATAATTTAGCTTCCCAGATAGAAGGAGATCGTGTTTTATATGAACACAGCATTCTGGTTCTTAGGTTATTATTTTTGTACTATAAATTAATACTGTTATTCTGGTGCCAAAGCCTTGTGGGAACTTCAGCTATGTTAAATTAGCTCAACTACTGATCACCCACAAACACCAACAGGAATGAGTACCTGGATCTTCAAATCAAAGGACCAGAGCTCAGAATAGGGTCACTAAATGTGGCACTAGATAGTATCACCTTCTGTCTCTCTCAACAGTTTTTCTTCAGCCAATTCCTCTCCATCTCCATATTGACACACATATGTTTTCCCACAAAACAATGTTAGAGTGACTATTGCCTAGGCTACCTCTCAAGATACAATATAACCCCAAGTCCTCCTAAACTCCCTTGAGCATGGATTCTAGTATGTGAGTTCCTTTGATCCCTGTCTCTCAGGACTACACTCTCTGAGCATTGAGCTCTCCAAAGCCCCAGAGTAAGCATGGAGTAGTTGGAGCTCAGACACAGCTGGGTAACTTCGGCAATAGTAAGATGGAAAGAACTCCTCCTTGTCCCCCGCCCCAGGAGTGCACTCTAGACAAAGTCTCCATCAGTAAAGAAGAGAAAGTGTACTCATTCAACTAATATGTAGTAGGAGCTGGCCTTATGCTCACGAAACACAAAGTAGAACTGCTCCTGCTTTAGCAATTTTACATTCTAATGTCAGTAGGGTGGATGAGGAGTGAAAAAATAAATCAATAAATAAGAAAATGTTACTTGTTAATAAGTACTCTGAAGACAGTCAAATGAGGAAATGTTACAGAGAATGAATAGGAAAGAGAATAAGACTACTGTGAATTAGGTGGCCAGAAAATCACTTGGATGGAGACATTTAAATGGCACCCTGAATAATCACCATCTGGGGGCTGCACACAAAACAGAAGGCCAGATGGCCAGTGTGGCCAGAGGCCAGTGAGCTTGGTGAAAGGTGGTGTAAAATACAGGCAGGAACTAAATGAGGTAGGCCCTTGGAGGCAAAACTGAGGAGTTTGGATTTATTTCAGTTTCAAGTCCATGTCAGGGTTTAAGCAACATAGCAGTAGTCCAATCTCCATTTTTAAAACCAAAGTTCTGGCTGCTATGTTGGCATGAATTGTAAAGTGCTAAATGTAGAAAGGAGAGTCAGGTAAGAAGCTATATCTATGGCTCTGGCAAGAAATGACCACGGTTTGGTTTATTGTCATAAAGAGACTTGAATGGGATACAATTTGGTTTGCACAGAGACAACAAGACCAGCTAAGAGATGAAACGTTGATACTGGCAATTAAGGCGATGGCTCTTCCAATTTTGGTATGAACAACTGCATGGTGGTGATTATGTTTAATTATAAGTGGCAGAATTGTGGGGGGAAAATATTTGAGAGAGGAAGAGGAAGCTAGGGAAATGAGAGTTCCATTTTGGTTAATTTAAATTTTAATGGGCTCTTAGGCATCCAGGGGTAGAAATAATCAGACCAGACCACTCAAGATATGAATCTGATTTTCAGGAGAGACATCATGGCTGTCAATATAAATCAAGAGCATCAGCTGCATAGAGATAGTTTTAAGCTATGAGATTGGACAAAGTCACATAGGAAGTGGGTTTATATGGAGAAGATAAGAGGACGGAAGACTGAGACCTAAAGTACTCTAAGGTTTAGAAATCAGATAAGGGGAAAGGAGGCAGAAAAAAAGATGGAGAAGTGGTAGCCAATGAGATAGGAGGGAAAATAAGAATATTTTCTAATACTAAAGCCAAGAATAAAAGGAGTCTTTCAAGGAGAGAATAGTCAACTAATAAGCTACAAATGAGAGATTGAGTTAGATTTTTATGGAGAAATGGCCATTAGATTTCACAAGTGAAGGTTAATGGGGACCTTGAAAAGTTTATTTTTTAAATGATGACATCTGGTGAAAGGAATGTGATGTGCTACTTTTTCTACTTAAATTTCATAACCAATTGAATGTTGAAAAAACTAAGTGGAAAATTGTGTTATCCAGACTCTAAATTTCAGCATAGAATTATTGAGTATTAAATAAATGTAAAGAACTGTGTCATGGCATATAAAGGAAAAATTGAAGAGCTATCATTACATCATCTGACTTAAAATATTTTCCAATCAAAAAGATTACTTAATGTTAGAATCACTTTCTATAAGGTTGAAAGGTAATTTTTATATTCAGATATTTATAATTTCTGACATTAAAGTCTGAAGCCATATATATTATAGTCACAAAGTAGAAATAGATATGTCCAAAAAATCATTTGACTTAAAGGAAAAAATTCTTAGTTTCAGGTAGAAATGTCTTTCTGTGACTTAAAACAATATATATATATTTTTTCTTTAACTCAGGTATGGTGACATGGTGCCAAAAACCATAGCAGGGAAGATTTTTGGTTCTATCTGTTCGCTGAGTGGGGTCTTGGTCATTGCTCTACCTGTTCCGGTGATTGTATCCAACTTCAGTCGCATCTACCACCAGAATCAACGAGCAGACAAACGAAGGGCACAAAAGGTGCGTATTCAACTCCGTGCAACCATGGTTTAGCACTTCCCACTTTTTATAATGAGCTTTAAAATTTCTTAATGGTTATTCAGTGCTCTGGATTGGTCAGTAGTTGCATCAATCAGGACCGAGTAGGTTATTCTACACTAAAAAGAAACGTAACATCTCAGTGGCTTAAAACAATAAGCAATATTTCTGAATCATGCTACAAGTCCATTACTTGTCCAGAGAATAGAGAGTCCATCTTGACAGTGTACTTCTGCAGTCACTCCAGCAGGAGTAAAGGGCATGATGAATCACACACTGCTTCCTAATGTCCCTCCTGGAAGTGGTTTGAGTCACTTTCTTGTCTATTGCATTAACCAAAGCAAATCACACAGCAATGTCTAATTTCAAAGTGGGCAGGAAAATACAATTCTACTGTGGGGCCAGAAGCAGAAAATAAGAAATATTTGACGAACAGCACTAATGACAGTAGCAAAATCAGAAACAGATTCTTGGCAAATTTTATTAAAATCAGATTTCTAGATCTGATTCATTGAGTCTCTATCTATCAAGGGTCAAACTGGTTCCAGTAGACGAGGGTTATTAAAGGTCACCAAGATGTGTCTCAGATATTTTACATAGTTGACACAAGAAGTAATCTGATCATCTGTAGCTGAATTTTATTCTCGTCCCAGCAGCTTACCGTTTGTTTGAACTTCATGCCAGGTAATTAATCCCTCTAAGAATAAGCATAGCGTACACTCAACTGTAAAATGGGGAAAATAATAAATAATAAGATTAAGATTATATACAAGTATATGTAAATTTATATAAACACATCATATTATCAATATTTAATGTTTACTGATGGTTTATATGTGTCAGACATTAGCCTAATGTTTTTCACAAAAGAATTCATATGTTAAAAGACAAACCTTAGCCAAATTAAATTGAAAAGTTTAATTGAGCAAAGAACAACTCATGAATTGGGCAGCCTTTGAAGCCAGAGTAAGCTCAGAAACTCCAGCACAGCCGCATGGTAGAAAAAGATTTACAGGCAGTAAAAGGAAAGTGACATACAGAAAACAAAAGTGAGGTACAGAAACAATTGTACTGATTATAGCTCAGCGTTTGCCTTATTTGAACACAGTTTGAACAGTTGGCCCCCTTTGATTGGCCAAAACTCAGCGGTTGGCACAAGAGTGGGTTACAGTCTGTTTACTCCTCCATGTAAGTTACAGTTCACTATGCATAGAGAAACCTTTAGGCTAAACTTAAAATATGTAAGGAGGCAACTTTAGGCTAAACTTGAGTCAACACATACAACCTTCACAAAAACTCTGGCGTTAGTTACCATTATTATCCTCATTTTTATAGATGGTAATCCTCAAGTACCCCCAAATTAAGCAATTGTAAAGTCACATACCTGTTAAGTTGGAGATCCACCATTCCATCCAAGCCATTCTGGCTCCCAGGTTCATATACACAAACACTATGATAAAGTGCCTCTCAGAAAAGCTATGTAAATGTTAGCATACTTCCCTTCCCCAATCTTTGTCAAAATAGTCACCTTGAGAGGCAGGGCCCTTGTTGCTTAGAAATAATCTTGGAAATCTCTTTTGTAGTTTCCTTTGGACTTATGGCACTGTATTTCCAGTGTTCTTCATGGTCATTATATCTTTGTCCTTTAAGGATAGTTTCATTTTTTAAAAAATATCCAAAACCATTCATAATCATGACTAAAGTAGATGCACAACCTAGGTGATGTGTTATAACTACAAAATATCATGAGAGACTTTGATATAGTTATTCACTGGCTTTGTAGGTAATTCCAGAACGGGATCTTAAGCACGCATATGAACAATGTCAGCCTCTTAAGTAAAGTATACAATCTCATAAAGTAAGTCTTTGGAAAGTTCTAGTTAATCACTGTGGCCACACAGCATATTTGTCCAGAGAACTAATTTATGCCCACTGTCAAAGATCTTCTTCCTTTAGCAAAGAATCACTTTTTCAAGCTCTGTAGTTACTTGCTTTATGGAACCCTTCATTTTTGGACAAATGCCTAGCCTTTAATTATTACAGAGAAGAGTTAGAAATAGTCCAGTCAACATGGATATAGAGAACTGATCATCTAACGAATAGGGAGGAGTAGAAAAAGGCACCCTCTGGACAGTTGTAGTCTTATGTAGGGAATACATACCCTTGGCAAGCAGAGGTAAAGGGATTTCAGCCACAACTGACCCCACCACCAGGGACCTTCAAACATCACACTCATGACGCTGCCCATACAGTACAGTCCCTCTACTGAGTACAAACACACATTGTCTAAAATAACAGGATCCTACCAAAAGTTTAACTTTCAACCACCCATCTATCTCCATTCTAGACATTTCTCCTTTAGTATAAGAGCCAACTGTATGAAAACTATAGAAAGCACAAATCTAAATTTCCGATAAACCAATTTCCCAAACACTTGTATTTCTTCAGAGTTTGTCATCTGCAACAAAGAAATCAATAAAGAAAACCTTAGAATATTTTAGAAGCCTTTTGGTCTACTAAATATTAAATACTAAAATACATTTAGAAATCAAAAGTAAATAATGTGACATTCTAAAAGTACACTAATTGAAAAGTATATTTTGTGAATGCTTTTTGGTATCTTTAAATATTTGCTATATTTTTGGTTTCTGCCATAATGCAATGAATTTTACAGAGTTTTACTACTGAAAAAATTGGATTAATAAAGTAAAATATAATAACCAAGTATAATATGTCCAGTATGTAGACTGTGACCAATAAACTGAACATAATCTTCTAAGAAAGAACAGTGGATATGAACTAAATAAGTTACCAGGGGATATTTTCTATTTTCCTTCCCAAGAGATTAGGGGGAAAAAAAAGCAGAACAAACGCCCATTAGGCTAAGACAGTTTATTTATCTGGGACTGGGCTATGTGCCAAATATTAAAGTTATGCAAAAATGACCAGCTAATTCAGTCAAGCAAGCATTCAATTCAGTAAAAACGTCAGTCCAACTGACTAATAAAAGTAATATTACAAAATGGTTTGTTAGACCATATTTTTGGTGTTTAATTCAATTGCCACACTAAGACCAAGCAAAAGCATGAAATAGACACAATATTAATTTTAGAAAATTCCTATCATCACTATCAGAAATACTTTCCTTCTTCTAGTTTCTTCCATTTGCAAGTACTCTTCCTACTTTTGCTGTCCACTCCTGCCATATACAGGGAATACATGGTTTACCCCATTTCTATCAATCATTGATAAAGTCTTAACTAAATACTGACATGCTGGTGGGTATAGGCCTAAACTGTGACACCTCTCCTCTACTCCCACCATTGGTAATTATATTTTAATAGATTTATTGATTCTCGTAGTTATACTATAAGTATTTACTGAGTAGAATGTATTAGCCAAAATAAAGCTAGATTAATGCAATGACAAGTGGCAGGTTGACATTTTGAAGCAGCTCTTTTAATATATGGATCACATCACCTAATCATCTGCATACTCACAGGCTAACCTGTGAGTAATTATCATATAATAATCATAGTAGTAATTATAGTTATAATTTAATAATACTAATTGCAACAACAAAAACCCTCACTAGTTTCTAGAATGTCCCAGGTGTTTTATATCTGTTTTTTTTGTAATATTCACAATCAACTTGCAAAGGAAGTATACTATTTCCATTTTACAGATAACTTGCTCATGCTCACAAACCTAGTGATTAAAGTCCAAGGCAAAAAAATTCTAGTATTATTTGAACTATGAATATTTTAGGATATTCCTATAGATAATTCTAAATGCAGTGAGAAGTTTAGAATCAATGAGCCAATGTATAGTGTAATATTTTTAAATTTCACATTGACTTAGAAAGACACTACCCATATGTAGTCTGCCATTTATCACACCCTGCTAGGGTGGTTTTCAAACTTTAGATTCATTAGAATCATCTGGAAAGCTTACACACACACACACACACACACACACACACACACACACACAAACAAAAAAAAAAAAAACAAAACAAAAAACAGATTGTTGAGCCCTACTCCCAAATCATCAGACTCTGTAGTTTTGGGTTAGAACCTGAAATTTTGCTAATAAATTCCCAGGTGATGCTGATATTGCTGTTTGGAAGACCACATTTTGAGAACCACTGCCTAGTACATTCAGCAATGTCAAAATCAAAGATTTTTATTTAAGTAGAATAATGAAAAAGCAAGAAATAACTACTTGCTAGAACCTGAGAATGATCTCTTAGGTTATCTACTGTTAAAAACAAAATTACCCAGCTCCTAATTCCACCTAAGAATTTGGTCTTGGATGCTCTCCTATATCCTCTTTCAGTTCTCACCGCTTCCACCATGGAATCCTCTTGTAGACCTCTCATTGCTTAGCCTCTTCCACTAACCCAAATCCCAGCCCTTTTTCTGCTTAGCCCTGCCATCTCCAGGATTAACCAAGTTCTGGACCTAGGAATGTTGCACTGTCTGCCACTGACTTCTTTCTTCTCTTTTTATTGTAGTTTGGTACTAACTTGTCTCATTTCTAGCACAGCTATTTTTCTTAGCAAGTGAAAAGATTCCAATAAATGCCTTAAACTTCTAAAAGGTGATAAAGTTTACTATGTTACCTCAAACTGAGGCATTTTACTAACCCTTAAATGAAAGAAACAACTGTAAGCAAAATTTCCAGAATGCATGTTACAGGGAGTGTGGAGGCAGGCATTTGAGGAATAAGGAATTACCAAAGAGAAACACCTTCATTACCTCACTTTTAAGGCTACCTAGGATACCTTTATTTTTCAAAAGATTTTGTGATTTGGTAACAAGATGGCCCAATAACTTCCTTTAATCTACCTCATACCTCATCTAGAAATGACTGACCATTTAAAGAAATCAATGTCTCAGTGGTGTTTGGCTTATAGATCCTTCTCAGATTGACTTCCACCCTCTGTTCCACAACATAAACTATAAAGTTTATGTCACTTGGCGTAATTAAAAAACAATCTACTTGATAAAACCCATTGTGTTCCACTGCATTCTAGCCTGTGAGTACTTCACAATACAAGATTTCTATGTCAAATTAGTTTGAGGAAATTTGCAGATTATATATCCCTGTTCTTCTCACAGTGATCATCCACAATGTCATATGGTGTGAGGAACCCGGGAGCAAAGGAACCTGTTTAACACCTCAGCATTTCCCAGCCTTTTCTTGACCACAGAACCAGTCATTTGCTTCATCTGTTTGATTTAGATTTTACTTACCACACTTACGAATTCCTTGGAACCAACTTTGAGAAATCCTGCTAAGATTAGATGATTGGACAAAAGCTGCAGCTATGAAGAATTGGGATGCATAGGAAGAATATGTTTATGAGACAGACAACTTTTTTCCAAATACCATCACCATTTAAGGCAAATAAATTATTTGAAAATAACTATGAAGCTTTTTTTACACTGAAAATGTAAACCTTGCTTTAATTAAAATTTAAGAAGTCTCCTACTTTTCATACAGCTAAAATAAAGTACTTACTGAAACTTTTCTCCAACTTCCATATTATTTGCTGGTACTTTGCCATGCCAGAAGTTGTATGTCCTAAAAGGGTCGGGGGTAAGAGACTGAAAGGAATACATTTCTTTTTACCAGCAGATGGCTTTCTTTTAACCTCCCAATTACATAATTGGTGCTGCCAAGATTGTCATACTGAGTGGCTCAGAAGTAAGATGATTTCCTAAAATATCTTTGTAAAATAATTTCCCTCAATTACCTGCTGTAATCACAAGTCATGAAGGCTAGCATTCAACAGGCATTTGTTGTGGTGCTCCGCAAGACCAATTAAACCAATTAACTCCTATGGAATTGTAGTCGGGTCAAAGAAAAGCCATGATTGAAATTTAGATGGGAAGTTCTTTTTCTAACACGCTGCATGACTTAGCAAAAATGGATAGTCTGTCTCTAAAGCAACTTCTTTTTCCCTAAGCTTAGAACTACTTCTGCAGTAGTGTTTGCCACCATATGTAGGCTTTCCATTATATGATGAGAAATATATGTCATTTTATTTTGCTGGACTGTATTTTTGGTTAATGTATATGTTTTCTTAATAAAAGAAAACAGTTTTACCCAATGCTGCTGCTGAATGCTTAGAGAATGAAGGGAGGGAGGGAGGAGTTGGGAGTCAGGAGTAGAAAGGCAATGAATGTTCCAGGAGACTAAAGAGACTTGAAGACTGAAATTTCAACAATAATCCCTTTTTGGAAACCAATATATAAATTGCTTATTTCTGAATTATTAAGCTAATTCTGAGTTGTTTCCAAATGTCCTTTTCACTTGCTACTGTTTCACTGAGTCTGGTCTGAAATCCTGAAACTGCAGCCCAGCTTTTGAAGTTAAAATTTTTCTACCTTCCAATTTCATTCTCTACTATTGTGTCAGTATTTTGAGTGATCTAAACATTATGTTTCCAACAAAGAATGAAATTTGTCTAATTTTCTCATCATTTATAAATATGGTCTTTGTACAAAGTATATTATTTTAACCTGGAATCAGCACACAGGAAGAATAAATTTAGGAAGGAAGGGAAGAGGGGTGGAGTTAAAGACATGATATCTTAATGCGATTTTGAGAGCTTCACACATCTCAGTGCTACTCTCAAATGATATGTGTGAAAGGCATCTTGGTACAATAACTTTGGAGGGAAATTTGGTAAGACTTAACAAAAGAAACACACACACACACACACACACACACACACACACGCACTCCCTTTGGTCCAGGAATAATTTTGCTTTCAGAAATATGTCTTGTAGATAAGCTCATCATCATATTCAAAGCAGGCAGCCTTGCTTATAGTTGCCAAAGATGCTTTAAAAATTAATTGGCAGTTGGCCTGGTAAATAAATAATTATTTGTTTATACCGTGGTATATTATACATTCATTAAAAATGAGGTGGATCTTTATATGCATATACGGAAAGAGTTCTGAGATGTAATTAAAAAACACAACTAAATGCAGAAGAGTGTGCAGAGTATTCTCTGGAGTAAAAATGTATGTGTATATACATGTGAATATATCTACTTGCTCTTTTATGCTCAGAAAATTTCTCACAGGATTCTCTAGAAATATTACCAGTGATTGTTTCTGAAGCCTAGGAGTGGGATGGCTCCAGGGTCAGAGACAATTGTTTGCATGCACTTCTGTAGTATTAAAAATTGTGTCATATGTTTATATTTATTTTTCATTTAAAAAATCTAGATAATTTTAAAATTTTTATTAAAAAGAGCATTCCAGGACTTGAGACTAAAGATAGTATTTTTCTAGGTTGTTTAGAAGGGAAAAAGAAGAAGTTTTGTGAGATAAGCCTACAGGAAACTTATCTAAGCCATCCCAGTCTCTGTTTTACATACACTTGCTAGCTACATGTAATACAAATAGAATGGTCACCAAAATAGTGCTGTCCAGGAAGGGAAAACGAGACTGTTTCCATGACGGTCTAAATGCACGTCAACAACAGCAGTTAGAAAGTAGAATGGAATATCAGAAATCTGGCTACACAGCCAGATCCTTAGTACTTTCACTTTAGGGATCTAACTGTAACTTAAAGGAACAATTGAACTGGCCACCTAAACCCTCTACATTGAAGGATATTCTCTACAGACACACACACACAAAATGCTTTAAAAATGAAAAACAATGTTTAAATCTCTCTGGATAGGCTTACTATGTTCTTCATTTCAGCCAGTTCAAGAGTGAAATACAAATCAGATGCACATACAGTCGTGCGGACCCGTGCCGGTAGACAAAGTAGATAAATTCACAGTTGTTTTTGTTTATTTGTTTGTTTGTTTGTTTGTTTGTTTAGAGAGAGAGTCCATGTTGTTTGGCATGGGATCTACCTAGGCTAATTTAAAGGATAATTGCAAAAATATAATTTTATATTGGAGGATGCAGATATAGATGAATAATGATTCTTAAAAAAAAAAAAAAAGAAAGGAAGGAAGGAAGGCAATCAGTTCTTGGTACTTAGTTACTAATTTTTTTAAGGACATTAGTTTAAACGAAAAGGAGTTGGCAGCTGGTTTCCTGAGCTACCGGTCTTCATTTCATTAAGTTACTCAGATCGGGATAAATGAAAATATAAGTAAAGTAATACTGCTATTTTTATTTTGACAGAATTGAAAGAAACAATAATGAAATAACTTGATCTTATTGTAAAGACTTAATTATAATTCTTAAAGGCATAAGCCAGCTCCAAGGTAGTTCATTGATTTTACTGATAAATATTAACTGAAATAAAGCACTTAAAAAGGTAGAGAGGTAATTTTCAATAGTTGCATTTGAAAAGCTGGCTTACTTTTAAAAATATGTAGGCTGACAATAGGATTATACAAGGGTTCATTCACTGTTTTAAGGAAA
Organism: Homo sapiens; assembly: GCF_000001405.40. Lineage (NCBI taxonomy): Eukaryota > Metazoa > Chordata > Mammalia > Primates > Hominidae > Homo > Homo sapiens. The sequence goes on from NC_000007.14 coordinate 120,741,491, forward strand.
CGATTTATAAATGTTAATGGGATGTTTATTTTTTCTCCTATAGAAAGCTAGACTGGCCAGGATCCGGGCAGCCAAAAGCGGAAGCGCAAATGCTTACATGCAGAGCAAACGGAATGGTTTACTCAGTAATCAGCTGCAGGTACAATCAATTACATCTCTTTTTTTAATGTTCAATTTCTTGGTTTAATATTGATTTAGTTCTACTTTCCTATAATTTTATTATGGCTAATTATGACAATGGCTATCCAAACAACAAAAGTGTGTTTGTTTGTGTTTTTTTAATAACTTCACCCTGTACATCCTTGTTGGCTGTAGAAGGTTAGAAACTTCACTATGAAATACTGCCAGTGAATCATGATGCCTATTCATCATTGGGCAATATTTCTACACTGTCTCTTATTAACATGGTAAAGGTAAAAAAAAATGCTTAATAATTCAAATGCCTAATTCTTTTTCATTTCAAATTTATCTTCCTTAACGTTCATTTGGGTCAGGGGTTGGGGTGGGTGGCTAACATGATGTCTTGTTTTACTTCATAACGAAGAGGGAATACTATTCAGTGTTAGGAAGATCATATGGCATAAACTACAATTTGAGAAAATTTATTTTTACTCCAGAATTTTCCTTTAATATTTAGGACTCCAATCTTTACTTACAAAATAGCTTTTATTTACGTGCACATGATCGTGGTTTCAAAATTTTCTAAGCACTATGCTAAATTTGATCATCAAAACATAACAGATTCCCATCTTACAAACATAGTTGCTAGTTGAATGAGTAAAAGAGATTTCAAATTTCAATTCAAGGAGGCATGTCTAAAAGACCAGACCATTCATTTGATGAAATTGTAAATGCCGATCATCCAACTTAACAGGAACTGCACATTTGTTCCTTTCTAGTTAGAAAAAAATAAAATGTTGCCAGTTAATAGAGCAGATCTCTCTGTGGAAATATGTAGCCGAGGTTCGAGTTGTTTGCAAATAAAATAGAAAGCTCTTCTGTCTTCTCTTTGTTAACAGTCCTCAGAGGATGAGCAGGCTTTTGTTAGCAAATCCGGCTCCAGCTTTGAAACCCAGCACCACCACCTGCTTCACTGCCTGGAAAAAACCACGGTAAGGAGACAGCATGACTGCCTTCCCTTGCTCTCTGACAGTAATTCCATTTGCTTTTGTGCATACTTAATGCTTCCGAGTGTGATTTCACTGTCTGCATTACTGGAAAACATGCTAAAAAACAAACAAACCAAAACCCCACAATATTTGAAATTACTTTGAAAGATGTAATGACATTTCAATTTGGAAAGTATTTTAGAAACTTATTTAAAATGTTTTATTCTTAGCTGCTGTCTTAACTCTAGTCTAAGAAGTCAGTTAATGCAGATGAAGAGTGGTCTTCCAATAGTAAATCCTACACAATATCATTTTCTGTGATTCTTAAAATGCGAATTAGACAGAAAAAAATTAATGGTGCTCGAGGGTCCCTAGCATCTAGATCAAGAGAATAGCAATAGCAATAACAAAAAACAGAGAACAATGGAATATAAGCATTTGTTTCATTCACAACCATAATGAATAGAGATAGATAATAGAAACTATTCTCATTAGAAAAATGACTCATGTAATCACTGGTATGCCCTTGGGTGCTAAGGAGTGAGTCTGTATTTCTCCACTTACAAGCTCTTGTTTGGACCTCCTCATTGGCAAATCTACCAATTTCTTAACCAGTTTGTAAATAGGAGTCATAATCTATGATAATCACAGAGCAGAACAAAATCTTCACCATATTTGGATCATGTCAGCTCACTCACTCTCGGGTGACACATGATTTGTATTCTCAGTTCCAAAGTATTGCCTGTTCATGTACTTATTTACCAATAGAGTCATTCAGCAAATATTTACTACTTGCCTATTATGTGCCCAAGAGTGAGCCAGACCCAAGAAACGCCATGAAATGAGGTGTGGCCTCTGCTACCATTTAGCCTCTGTTTATAAAACAAAATCCCAGACAGGGCTGTTACTGGAAAAGAGCAGCGAACATGGAAAGCAACAACGGTGCCACAGTCAAGAGAGTAAAGAGGGCAGAGCCATGAGGGGACAGGTCAGGCAAGGCTTCCTGGAGGAACTTGAGTGGAGACCTGCAGGGTGACTAGGAGTTAGCTAGGCAGAGCAATGAAGGGGCTAACAGGTGATACAAGTACCTGAAGAAGGAAAGAACTCAGCCTAGGAGGAAGTGAAATAATTTAAGAGTGGTCAGAAGAAGAGAGTGTAGCATGGCAAAAGAGGAGCTGAAGGGAAAGGCAGTGTCCAGATAATGTTAGGCTTTGCAGCCATGTGGACAATTTTGATCTTTAGTTCATGGAAATCATTTAAATGTTTTAAACAAGGTAGTAACATGATTATACTTGCATTTTTAAATAAAGATATGGACAGGTCTGTAACCTAGTAGGATAAATTTGAAAGTTAAATGATACATTAATAATAAAATGTTGGCCAGGCGCAGTGGCTCACGTCTGTAATCCCAGCACTTTGGAAGGCCAAGGTGGGCGGGTCAACTGAGGTCAGGAGTTCAAGTCCAGCCTGACCAACATGGTGAAACCTCGTCTCTACTAAAAATACAAAAAAATTAGCCAGACATGGTGGCGGGAGCCTGTATTCCCAGCTACTCGGGAGGCTGAGGCAGGAGAATTGCTTGAACCCAGGAGGCAGAGGTTGCAGTGAGCTAAGATAGTGTCACTGCACTCCAGCCTGGGCAAAAAGAGCTAGACTCTGTCTCAATAAATAAATAAATAAATAAAATATTTTTATTCCTATCTTTTCTGTTCCCTGTATTTTCCTTTTTTGAGGGCTTTTTTTAAAATCAAAAATCACTAACACCAACTAATATAAATTATGCTACCTACAAAAGTATGTAGTAACTAATAACAGAATGACTCCTGCACTTTCAATCACTGATGAGACAAATTAGAATCTCATGCATTATAACTTAGGTATGTGAAACCATGCATTGTAAGAGAAGGAAACAGATTGTGAATCTTTTGTGCACCATTTTTTCTTTGAAATTTAATATTTGAAATATTAATTTCAAATATTTCTTTGAAATTCTGTCTTGTCTGATTATATTATTCTCTAGACTTTAAAGAGTAGAATGTTAAATTTCATTTATTTCAAAATGCTTGTCTCAGCAAAGAAATGACAAAACGAGTAGCTAAAACATAATCTATTTCTTATTAGCCAGTGTCTTGCTTCAATTGTTTTACTCATATTTTAGGATGAGAGATGGTTAAGTGGAATTTGGTATGTGCAAAGCCTTCCATTATAAGACTATCCCCACCCATGCAAAGAAAAACAAAATAGTAATTGAGGTCATTCTCTAGTAGTTCAGACCAAAAATGTTTTCCTTTATATTTCTGAGGTGAAATTCTTCCATAGGCATTTCAGGAGGTTTTTTGTCAAACATTTTAAAAGCAAAATTGATACCATGTTTCTATAAAATACGATATGCGAAATGATGCCTATTGCTATTTGCTACTGGGCTGGAAGTTAGGAAATAGTGACGGAAAAACCCCAAATGCATACAGAGATCATGAGTACAGCCAGTGATGCCAGTGATGTATTACGAAGATTACAAAAAAGGCCACAAAAGTTCAATGCTAATCCCTTCTGGGTCGAACACAGAGTGACACATTCGGCAGACAATTATATTTTACTTATGTAACGAATAAGTCATATTTTTCTGTACTGGGCATTTTTAGAGGAACATATAAAGAAATGGATAGTGTCTTAGGGGTCTCATTTTCTAATTTAGAAATGTTTTCACTCCCATGTGAAAAGATTTGCTAATATATAACAGACAATCTAACTTGGGGCATCCTATTAAAATAATCTATTTTCCATAACTTCAACCTTTTTAAAAAATAAAGTCAGTGGGAATTTCTAATTTCCCTGTGGGTTTTATCTATATGCATTTTTTAGGTTTTTTTTTTCCTTATCATATACCTTCCAGATTTTATGTTTAAATAAATAAATGATATTTCAAGATAAAGTTAGTCTATAAAGGGACACTAAATCAGCCTACAGATGTCAATCTCTAGGTTTAACTACAGAGATAGTTCCACATAAATGCCAAAAAGAAGTGGTTTTGATGTCAATCTTTATGAAAATGGTTTTATTTAACCATTGTATCAAGTCTAACTATACTTGGGCAGATTTGAGCTTTAAAAATAAAGCTATGTATTTCGTTTTTAAAAATGTGCTTCTCTGTTTCTTCATTTACTTACAACTGTGGAACAGAATCACGAGTTTGTGGACGAACAAGTCTTTGAAGAAAGCTGCATGGAAGTTGCAACTGTTAATCGTCCTTCAAGTCACAGTCCTTCACTGTCTTCACAACAAGGAGTCACCAGCACCTGCTGTTCACGACGACACAAAAAAACTTTTCGCATCCCAAATGCCAATGTATCAGGAAGCCATCAAGGTAGTATACAAGAACTCAGCACGATTCAGATCAGATGTGTGGAGAGAACACCTCTGTCTAACAGGTACCTGAGATTAATCTGTGTTGTCTACACACCTGTGCTGGTTCCCAGGGTGTGTCTTCTGCACTCATGTTGTCACTTACATGGCATCTAAATCCCTAGCTCCTATGGTTCAGGAAGAGACAAAAATGGTAGCGTAACAAGTAGGAAAATGGTTCTGCTTGCATATCCATTAAGGGTTAAAAATAGTGGTTATATCAGTATTAAAAGAGTCGAAAGAAGAAGAGATGATTGAGTGCACACAAATGTGTTTTTCTCTCTTCTGTTCCACAACCTTTTCTTATTTGGGCAAGGACTTTTATACTCAGGAGTCTCTTATATATTCAATAGTCTGAAATGATGGTGGACACTACTAAAAGAGTCAAATGAAATTGAGATCAACATGGCTAAAAATTATTGAACAGCATGTAAAAATATACAAACACACTGTCTGTAACAGTAAAAATGAAAACTTTGCCTACATAAGTCATTTCTATCAATATATAATTTTGATCAGAAAGGTATTTTTGGCCATATCAAACACAAAATCAACATAATACAAAAAATAAGTGAAGTACTAAAATTGTTTGCCTCTGGTTAGTTTATGAACAAATTAAGTAAAACTTCCATATTGATATATTTCCTTTGCTTTTCCTTATTCACTGTTTTTACCACAAATGTGTAAAAATAAAAAGTTGTACATTTAAACAATATATGTCATTAAAAATCAGTTTCTGCCAAAATAATTTTATTCTGTTTTCAAATTGAACAGCATATATTGTTAGAGTGAGAGTCTGTAAATTCAGTCCTCTTCTTTGTTGGCATTCAGAAGTCTTTGTTGAAATCTGGATGAGATTCTGAATTCAGGTGATGTTGATTTACATAAATTGGATGTCTCTGGGACTAGAAAATTAAAATTAGGAGCCATAAGACTTCTATCTTCAAGATATTTTAGCTTTGCAGTTTTATATCCTTTATAAAGTGAAGTCGACAATGGAAAATTATCTAGCAAGAAAATCTTAGGACATAAACATCTTAATTATGTTTTCCATGAAAATAAAATAATCAGTTTCAAGCTTCTGTGTATATCCTTCTCTCTCATTTCCCTTTTATCCCCTTCCCCACATAGAGTATACAATTCATCCAATAATACCATTTGGGAGCTTGAAGTGTTAGATAGTAATAGATAATTTTTTTATTTCTGTAATATGTGATCATCATTAAGTTCAGAGGTTTGAGGGCATTATATATCCCAAAAAGACATGAAAATAAAAATATTCTGTGGTCAAAGGAATTAAGAAATCAATGTGATATGGCTCTTTCATAGTGGTTTCTCAAACCTCTCAGAGGTCTGTCTTAAATAAAACTTCTTTGCTCAGCCCAGGCTGTCCAAATCTTACTTGAAGCTCTTTCTTTCTTACATTTTTTTATAATACATTTAGTTTGATAAATACTTGATGGAACCAAGTCAAACTGTCTTTTAGAAATTTATTTAATGTTAATTACTATGTTCATCTTTAACATAGATTAAGATTTGGTGTTTCATATTTTTAATTATAATAACTTTCCTTAGACAATTAAAATATTTTTATAAGCATTACAACACATATTCTTCAGTTGTATGAAAAACATTTTAAGTAAACAACTTACTTTCCTAAATATTTTTTTTTCTATCAGCCGATCCAGTTTAAATGCCAAAATGGAAGAGTGTGTTAAACTAAACTGTGAACAACCTTATGTGACTACAGCAATAATAAGCATCCCAACACCTCCAGTAACCACACCAGAAGGAGACGATAGGCCAGAATCCCCTGAGTACTCAGGAGGAAATATTGTCAGAGTTTCTGCTTTGTAAGACAATTGGAATAAGGTCTAAGAGAATTCGAGCCCTGGCTGTGAAAAGAATCTCAACATAGAAGAAAGAAGAAACAATAAATATTCTGCAGATTAATGCAGCAAAGAAAGAAGGTTGGTAGTGAAACACAAAGCTTCCAATCTTAAGGATGTGAATAAAACCACCAAATGGCATTTCTAGACAGTTTGACCTGTTATACAGAGTAATATTCTGTGGCCCTTTGACTTTGTGAATGAGCACAATGAAATGCCGCCTACTGATGCTTCTTATGATCAGAACTCTTTTTTAATAAAATAAATAACATAAATCGTTGAACATAATGTTCCAGTTGAATGCAAAACAAAAAAAATATGGAAAACATTTTGATAAAATTTTTTCCTGTTAAAACCATGAACATTGGCTATGATGAAGATTATTACATATGAAAAAAAAACTCACACAACATATTTGTATTGACTGAAGGAAACCATCATAATGCATGCTAGAATTCTTTGAAGCAGTGATCTCAGTTTCCTTATGTTGTCTTCAGAATAGGCATGATAAACTATAATTGTAGAAAGGGGTAATTTCTGTGCACTTACAACAAGCTGAGTGTTCATGTTCCATGGTGGGCTGTGCAAATAAACTCCTTTTAGACCTGCAGTATTTCTCATGGGGATGCTCATTAGTAAATCTAAAGTGTTCAGATAGTTCAGTATTCATTATCGTTTAACTTTGCACCTAGATACTGTTACAACTGCAATAATTTGTTGTACAACTGTTGTATCAGGAATCAGGATTTTTTTGTTGTTGTACTTTCCAGATCCTTATAGATACGGTAAGAGCCACATTCGTAGAAAAACTTCTGGTGTGGCCAGGTTTTAGGTAACTTTTTAATCCAAAACTATTGTGCCATAAATGTTTTTCAGTAATATTTTTTGGTCCACTGTATTCCTGTGACACAGTGCATTATCTGTTCTTGTATTTCTATAGCACCTCTCTATTGGGTTTATCATCATCAACAAGACTACTGTTTACTGTAGTTCAAGTGACTTTCCTACTTTTGTATTTCCAAAAAAAATTATCTTGTAAGTAGCTTGTCATCAATCCCCTTGTCGAAAACTAGAAAAAAAGGAGTTGACCCATATAAATTATCTCTAACGTCTTTGTTGTTTATGGAAAAGCCCAGATACTGGATATATCACTATGTATTTTATGAACAGAATTGACTGGGACTAATATCACAGGATCAATCATCTCAGAATCTTACTTGATGCATTATTTATTTTGCTTTAGATCTTGAATACATTTTGAGAATAACTAATGTGGATTGAAATGTAGAGATACACTGGAGTGCTTTATTTAGCAATATTTGATGAAAGCATGCTTTCTACGCCATTCAGGAAGGCAGCACAAATTTATCTCAGAAAGGTTCCTGTGTATTGCAAGGTACAATTTTCTCCAATAAATCAGGAGAACAGGAGTTTGATGATGCAAAGTTGATCTCTGTACATTTAAGTGAAAAGTCTTTATAACTTTTCACCCTTAAAATATTTCAGCAGACATGTCTGCACATGACAGTGTAAAAAAGTTTAATGTCAAATGCAAAGTTTTTATTCATTCCAAGCCACCACTGTAAGGAATAAAGCTTAGCTTCTGTACATGGAAAGAGCTAATAATTATCCCTCTGTCAGAGATGAGATTTTTAAATGCTTATGATATTTAATCATAAAAAGGGATTAATCCAACCATTTTCTAGTAAAGCCAGAAATTCTTGCTTCCCATTTCTAGAATAGTTTCTAGAACAGTGCTATGCACATATTAGATCTTAATAAACATTTGCTGAGTGAAAGTAAGATAAACTCAACTATCTCTTGGGAAGAACTGGCTTCATTCCTAGTACATCTTTTAAAAAGTTACTAATTTTCCAGCAGTACAAATATTAACAATTATATTAACACCTGCCTCATGTCAGTTTATGCTTCTAGAGCAATGTCTAGTGAAACTTATCTGATGGCATTTATTGAAAACCTTCTAAAAAGTAGACTAAGGAAACCATAATCAGAATTACTATGTCTTTTGATTCCCAATGAGAAGTTCTATTTTCATGTTCTTAATATTACATACAAGAAAATGCAGTTAGGTTATTTCAATTGACAATTCTGCCTCCTCTTTTGATTTATCACTTACCCAAAATTATTAATTTTATTAGGCTTTTGGAAAAGAAAAAAAACTTTTTGATGTTTTAGGTGATTTAAAAATATACCGTGTTGGTGGTGAATGACTATTGATGACTGTGTTAAGTGCATCTGTATTGTAAGTGAAATGTAATTATTTCTGTGTACCATATGGAGTAACTAAGGTCATTGTTTTTGACAATTTTGTTTGAAATTCATATATCTTATTTCAAAGGATAGCATAATATCTGCATTATGCTGGAAAAAAATAGACCTTTGGAGAATACTTAAATAAAACATGTGCATGCTTGAACAGGACAAAATGTTGACTGTTGCCCTATTTTCTTAGATTTCATTCCTTTCCCAAAATTAGGATATGCCACACTCATAATACACATGTTGGAGGACCTTGTGAGACATACAACTCAAAGGACACAGCAATTGAAAGTAATGCTTAAATCTCATCTGAATGGGTGGAGACAGTAGCTTTTGCTAGTAATGGGAATTAAGGCAGGGACTTTAACAGAAAAGATAGTATCAATTAAGGAAAGCCAGTCCCTGAACCTTATATACTTCTTAAACACCACTACTTGCATTAAGCAGAGAAGCTCAGGGGTAATGGTTTTGGTCAGAACTTAAATAAATTCTTAATCAAAGGCTTTATTCTACCTAGGAAAGCGGGGTGATTTATTTGCCTAGCCATTTGTGTGCATGTATGTGTATATGTAGATATAAATTTGTTCATACACATATACATAGATTTTCATTCATTTTTAATATGCAACCACTAATGGTTTCTCTTAATATCTTGAAAGGGCTAAAAAGCAAGAAAATGTTAAGAGTTTATAGAAGAAGGAAAAAGACACAAAGGAAATTATTTAGTAGAAAGACTGATTTTAACTGGTGATATATATGGTCCTCTTGGTGGATAGTCTCTATCTTTTCTTGTTAATTATTTTCATTTATAGCCTTTGATTTATTAGGTATCAATCTTGCATTAAAAAGTTCAATATGCCTCCCTATTCCTTCAACTTAGTCACAATGTTGGCTTAGAAATAGCCTCTTGGGAGCTATAATGTGTCTGCCAGTAACATTGCTCAAAAGAATAAAAAAGGGTTCTTGAAAGTAAATTGATAACTCCTTAGAGTTTCATAAGAAAGGCATCTTCTCTTCCCTACAGTGTCATTAAGGTGTTTGTTTTATTAACTCACTGGTACAAGAATGGTTATTACTCTGCACTGTGTAAACATCTGAATTTTCAACACAATTGTGTAGGCACACAGTATTTTTTTAATGAAGGTTTAAATTGTACCTACGAAGGTTTAAGTCTTATCTACTTCAGCTGGTTGTATTAGGATACTAAAATATTCTTTACAGAGTTTGATTTTTTACTTCTAAGGAATTACTAGCTTTGAACAGCAAGTTTGCTTAAGATAATTATAAAATATAATTTTACAAAATATTTTTAGTTGAAAATAATATTAAATACATAGCATACCTTTAATCTTTCTCTTTACTGCCTGCCCTGCCTTTTTTCTCCTTTATCTTCAAGCATTAATTATTATTGTAGCAGATCTTTGCCTTTCCCTAATTACTTTTTTCTCTAGCTTTTCTATGGAAATCCTTTAGGTTACATAACTAATATTCATTCTACATATAATCCAGTTTATTAAATACAGATGATGGGCCAGACATGGTGATAGAGAAATACAGATTAAGAAACCAGATCAAATCCTTTTTAAGGAATTATCTAGTGGAAAATATCTCAACTCTCTTCTTTACACTACTATTCATTATCTTACACTTCAAATCTTCACCTTTCCATTTTGACAGTCGCTCTTCTACTTCAGTCTCCTGAAGACATCTCTCCAACAGAAGTTACATAAAAATACTAATCTTCAAGGTGCTTTCTAAAATATTTTCATCACGTCATTAAAATCTTCTTTCACTAGGCAATGGTTCTGTCTCTATGGGGGCTGGCAGGCAGGGCAAATGAATTCCTACCTGCCCAGAGAAAGAACAGGAAACAATAAAGGTAAAACAAAACCCAAAGGAAGAAGAGCTTCATGTTTATGCATTACATTAAAGTTAAAAGGAAATAAACTTTCTCAAGTATCCACTCTACCTTTTCAACTATAATTTCAGAGAATGTGAAGAAAGCTATTAAAATAGTTTTGCAGGAGGACTGATACACAATGCGTCTGTGAATCTGAACACCACACCTCAAATTCTATTATCTGATGAATCCTATTGAAATATCTGAGTAATTGGGACAACAGAAAGGTAAGTCTGTAATCAGGGGCACTCACCAATAAGGCGGGCCTAGTTGGTTCATGTCAATTCCAAAGCAAGAGGATGGTTGAAGAAGGGTATTGAATGAGTAGATAACAAATATTTGGAGAGAGATTTGGAGGAACCCTGGAAGACAAGAGTAGGCTATTGGCAAGGGCTACAAGATGGTAGAGACATCCTTGGGCTTTGACTCTAATTGAAAATACAGAATTTTGGCCTGACGCAGTGACTCATGCCTGTAATCCTAGCACTTTGGGAGGCTGAGGGGGGTGGATCACTTGAGGTCAGGAGTCCAAGACCAGCCTCATCAACTGGTGAAACCCCATCTCTACTAAAAAAAGAAAAAAAAAAAATAGCCAGGTGTCCTGGTGCATGCCTGTAATCTCAGCTACTCAGGAGTCTGAGGCAGGAGAATTGCTTGAACTCGGGAGGTGGAGGTTGCAATGAGCTGAGATTGTGCCACTGCATTCCAGCCTGGGTGACAGGGGGAGACTCCGTCTTAAAAAAAGAAAAAAGAAAAACCAGAATTTTAAAGTTCAATTTAGATCAAATTAATTCCTTGGTTAGAGCTACAAATTTCAGCACCAAAAATTCTCTTAACCTGTTACCAGTTTTTAATAGTCATATACCAATACTGCTCAGACATCTCCTACAATGCCTGCAAGATGAAGAACAGAACCCTAAAATTAACAGAATAAGCTATTTCTCCAAGACATGTGAAAGGGAGTTGAAAGAGCCAAGGCTGAGTGGACACTGAATTGGGTAGAGGGGTTTGTTAAATTTCCCAATCAGAGACACCTTCTTGGAGAGGCAGAAGATTTCATTACAGAGGATATAACAATTTTGAAAGTAAAAATGTCATGTGCATCATAATTTTACACAGCAATCATTCTGGACATGCATTAATTTATCGCCAATCAATCTGGTAAAAAAAAAAAATGTAAACCCACAGAAGTAAAATCCTAATGCACTCTTTTCATTTTACACTTTCTTCAATAGATTAACAGTGAGTACTAAATAATGATGATTACAACCACCATGGAAAGATAACAATAATGACTGTTAACTTTACTGGATATTAAATATAGGCCAAGCACTGTGCTAATGACTTCACATGTATCAATCCATTCAGTAATTATTAGCCACATTTCCTGATGAGAAAACTTTAACACTGAAAAATTATGAGTGTGGGTTTTCCTAATTTAGATAATATAAAATTTTAAATTAAGTTATGTATTTCTATGACAGAGTTCTATTGCATAGAATTATTGATGTTATTTCTTCTTCTAGGCTAACAGATAAATTAAAAGAAATGGGGGTGGGACACAGAGGGAGGCCTGGGCATACCTGTGCTCTGGTGATTGTGGTCATTATCAAGGATGATCATTTTTTCTTCCCATTTTCTTTGGTCCAACCCATTTTATCATCTTGTTGTGTTCTGATAATAACTGCTTCCTAATTGACTATTGGTAAATTAAAATAAAATGGGACCTGGCTAGGAAATATATTAGTGTCCTAATTGACAAATATTTTTCCAACAACTCCATATCAGTAAAGCATACACATTTAGTTAATTTTCTAGTAACAGAGATAATTATGTGTTAGAGCATCTATTATATCTCACTTGCTCCCCTTTTTTTAACCAATGGTGACCAGGTTGGCCTCTAACGTGTAGCCTCACCTCCCTGAGTGCCAGGGCAACCAGCCTGAGCTACCGTGGCTCCTGCTCCCCTTTTTTAATAAGGTCTGCCACAATTTTCAAAGTTGTTTATTAGGGCTGCAGTTATAGCCTTCAGCATCTAGTTGGTGCACAGTCCAAGTCCTGGAGGCTGATCATAAAACAGAAATATTTTGGAATTAATATCAATAACCACAATTCTCATCCTTTATCTTTTGTATCTTCCTAAATTCTTGCTGGCAAAAATTTCGGAGGATAGGAGCAAAGTGCCTATTGGCATTTAATACCACATACAAAATAAAGTGCAGAGAGATTCAGATAGGCAAAATAAGTGCATAATTCAGTATTCCAAGTTAATATAATATAATTAAAAATACGATTGGATTTTTTTCAATCCTGTTGTTGCAATCCATCCTCAGAAACATTTCTAAAATTTTTCTGAAGGTCATTGAAAATTTTTATTTGTTCCTAATAAAATAAAACCTCCAATAAAGGTGTAAACATAGACATTTGATTTATTCAGAACTGTAGAAAATTTAATGTACCTTTTAAAATGGTACTTGGGATATAAGTACTTCCCATAAAACTTCTTATTTGGGCTTCATCGTTTGCTTGTTTTATGTTCCAAAATAACACTGGCCTATTAATAATATCTCTTTACTTTCCACTTCAATCTTTCCCTTTCTACTTCTCAAATGGTAAATGTGTTATTCATTGTAAATATTAATATTGTATCCAAAACTTTCTTAACATGAGAAATTAAGAGGCAATCATGATTTAAAAGACATGTATGGGAAATTAATGTCATATATAGCTTAGTATTGTCAAATTCTGATGATAAATTGTATAAATTTAATATAACAGATTTTATAAGATAAATTATAATTTTCTAAAATTATACAAATTTTATTATAAAATAATAAAAGTTCCCCAATTTGTCATACAGAAGGATAAAAATATAATTTTTGGTTTTTTCCAAACTGCTAATACACAGCAGATAGACCCTAATACAAAATCACACTACACTATGAAAACAAGGCATACATACATACGAACACAAATACATACAGTCATGGGCCACATAGCAATATTTCAGTCAATGATGTACTGCATATATGAGGGTGGTCCCAACAGATTATAATACTGGATTTTTACTGTACCTTTTCTATGCTTAGATTCACAAATACTCACCATTGGGTTACAATTGCCTACAGTATTCAGTACAGTAACATGCTGTTCAGGTTTGTAGCCTAGGAGCAATAGGCTTTACCATAAAGCCTAGGTGTGTAGTAGGCTATACCATCCAGGTTTGTGTATGTACACTCTGTGATGTTCTCACAAGGACAAAATTGCCTAATGACGTGTTTCTCAGAACCCATCCCTGTTTTGTGTGTGTATGTGTGTGAGTGAGTGTGTGTGTGTATCAGACAGCTCTACTAATATCTAAAATGAAATGAATTTATTCATACAAATGTGCAGGAGCCGACTAATGAGAGATTAGTGAGAGAAATGGATTTATGAGTGACTAGAAGAACTTGAAACCATATATCATTTGGAAGAAACAAAGTTTGGAAAACCAGAAGAATTCAATGTCATGCCAGTTTCTTTGGCTATCTTATTAATTAATTCAAGACATTTCTCTCATCATCTATATCCTTATATTATAATAGGTGTTTCAACCTAAACTTAGGCTGAATATCAAAATGATTATAATAAATTTACCTTAAGAGACTAAGATTAGGGGCCAGGCGTGGTGGCTCACGCCTGTAATCCCAGCACTTTAGGAGGCCGAGGCGAGCAGGTCATTTGAGCTCAGGAGATCGAGACCAGCCTGGCCAACATGGTGAAACCCCGTCTCTACTAAAAATACAAAAATTAGCTGGCCGTGGTGGCGGGCACTTGTAATCCCAGCTATTTGGGAGGCTGAGGCAGGAGAATCGTTTGAACCCGGGAGGCAGAGGTTTCAGTGAGCCGAGATCACGCCATTGCAGCCTGGGTGACAGGGTGAGACATAAATGCCTAAGTGTCTGTATCTGAGTATCACTGATTCTAATGAAATGTTTTTTCTGTAATTATTGCTGACTGCTGTCTAGATTTAAATACAAATGAACTAATGAATGACTGTGGCTTATTTATCATTAGATGCACTTCTCCATTTCTTCTCATAACTAAGAGAAAAATATATTCAATGCTCAAAGTTTATCATAAAAGCACCATCTCAACTAAGGTTTTTAAACAATATAATAGAAAGCCAAATAAATCAGCTAACTGAGGCTTCCAGTGCATTCCTCATAATAGAAATACATAAAGTAATATAATAAATTTCTTGTACATACATTTATATTCTTAATCATAGATTACCATGTAGTTTACATACATGTTTTATTATCAAATCTCTTTCATGTTTCAGATAAAAATCAGGAAAAAAACCATTGAAGGAAAGGGTGAACACATGAACACACACACACACACACACACACACTGCACACAAATCAAGGCAGGTGCAATGTGGAGTTTTATTTATTTTGCTGCCTGAGGAAACTAGAATTTTAGTGAAATCTGAAAGAAGACTTTTTCTTGCCATAATCATTATCCCTCCTGATTTTTTTCCTTTGTCAATTGTAGAAAATAATAACATAGCAGTGTTTAGGCTTTCAAATGATTATTTCCAGAGGTATCATAAGTAGCATTCTTATGATTACTAAAGGCATTATCTTTTTCCTAAACTTAAATGGTTTAGAATGCCTGAACCTGCATTAGCTACTACAAGAAAGAAATAGCAGTGATTTTGATGCACACATAAAAAAGAAAAACTCCTTGTTTGTTAATTTGAAAATTTATTAAGCATCTGTGCTCTTTCAGATCCTTAATAAATTTTCATAACATTTAATCAATTTTTTCGGTAAATTTGTTTTAAACTTTAAGGTAAATATAGCTGGCAGTGGGTTTATTAAAAGCAAACCATTCTTCAATTGTATCCTCATGAAATTAAAAAGCACACCAAGAAATTCAAATTCTTCTTTACAAAAATGTATCTGTGAGCTTCTACCCTATTATCCTTCCTACTTTTCAAGTGGCTAAGCCCTTTTCTTTGGGTTTTATAATTTATAAAGATCGCAGGTGTATACACATGCCCATATCCTCTGGTTCATGTTAATCATTGTATACGATACTATGTAGAGAACAGGGGACACGCCAAAAGGAAGCAGACAAAAATCCCTTCACACAATGGGAATGCTAAGTGTATCCTACATATTAAACAGTATGAGATACAACTTAAGAAAGGTATTATAAGTTCCCTTGATGGACAGCATAATGCCTGCAGCTGAAAATTACATAAATTTCAAGATATTTTCTAAAAACAAAGGAATGACCCTTGTGTTTTGCTTCAGCTATGGCTAAAACAATATGCCAAAGGGGCTTAATGACACTCAGGCAATGTAGCTATTCTATTTATTCATGTTCTTTGTGAGCACATTGTACACTCTAGGTACTATGCTCGGTGCTGGGAATGGAACATAAACAAGATCCTGCCCATGGTGTTATTTGTAGTCTATTTGTTGACTTGGACCCCAAATAGGTAAAATTATAATTAAACAACCTAAGTTCAGAGCAAGATGTATTCAAGGGAAAAACATGTAGGGTGCTCAGATCAGCAACAAAATGGTGGTATAGGGATGCTTAACATGGTGGTGAAGGAAAAGCCTCTAGGAAAAGATGTGAGAACTGAAAAGGGAACAGTCAGCCAAGTAAATAACAGTCCAGATCTGGGAAGCACATGTACATTTGCTTTCGTAATGTTAAGAACCAATCTATTTGATTGTGAACTTATGGATTATATCAGAAATTTAAAAATAAAATTATAAAAGAACCAATCTGTTTGATTTTAATAAAATCCATGGGTTTTAAATTTTTCTACTCTCTTGCCTATTATTTCAGGCCTTTATATGATTTGGGGGCCATAAAAGTTTTGAATATGGGCTGGGCATGGTGGCTCATGCCTGTAATCCCAGCACTTTGGGAGGCTGAGGTGGGTGGATCACCTGAGGTCAGGAGTTCAAGACCAGCCTGGCCAACATGATGAAAACCCGTCTCTACTAAAAATACAAAAATTAGCCAAGCGTGCTGGTGCACACCTGTAATCCCACCTACTTGGGAGTCTGAGGCAGGAGAATTGCTTGAATCCAGGAGGCAGAGGTTGCAGTGAGCCAAGATCGCACCATTGCACTCCAGCCTGGGCAACAACAAGAGTGAAACTCCATCTTAAAAAAAAAAAAAAAAAAAAAAAAAAAAATTGGATGTGATAAATAGATCAAAAGTTTATCAATTATTCTTGATTCCTATGTCTTTTCTTTTCATAGTTAAGTGCCAAAAGAGAGGTTTTATTCAGTGCAAATGACAGCTAACATTTATTCATTAAGCAACCAACATGAGCCATTTACTTTATTTTAATTCACTGCAACAACCATATAAACTGGTGCTAGGATGACCATTTTCTAAGAAAGGGACAGAAGCTCAGGAAAGTTAAGCAACTTGCCCTAGGCCATACCACTGGTAGATAAGGATTCAAATTCAGATCTGACTGCAAGTCCATGTACTTTCCCCTCTAACATAGTCTTCCATTGTGTTAACAATACAATTTAATAGTATTGAAGTTGTCTACAACACACAATTCTAGATTTCATCACTTAAACACAAAAAGTTTAGAAACATCTCGTGACTTATATATGTCTTAATTACAGGACTAATTATATTTAATCATTGAAATGACTATTAACTATTTTATATTGGTCCCAGCTGATTTATTCACTTTATTAATTCAACAAATATTGATTAAGCATCTTCTGTGTGCCAGATGCTCTGCCAGACACTTGGGATGAAACAATTAACAAGACAAATATGATCCCTGTCATTACAGTGTTTGCTTCTAGTCAGGAAGACTATCATTAAGCAAATAAACACATGGATTGCAAATTTTGGTAAGTGCCATAATGGTAAATAATGAGGTATTACAAAAGGGATAACAGAGCATTCCTCGGTTAAAATTTAAGGTTCAGAAAAATTGTCTTAGAGGAATGTCATTTATTGAAAACCCCAAGAAGGGGTGAAAATTATCCAAAAAGGGGATGAAAACATTCCAGGCATATTCTAGAGGCAAAATTATAATCCACAAGGTAGAAAAGGTCTTGCAACATTTGAAAGCCTTGAACCACTGTGAGTGAGGGGAGGACTGACTACAGGTTGGAAGGTGGGCAGGGACGAGGCCGTGCATGAACTCACAGACTCTTCCACTCAACGATATGAGAATTTGTTCTCTGTCCAATGGGAAACCATGAAGAATTTTGAGCAGAGGAGTAACATGATCCAATGTATGCTTTAAAAAGGTCACTCTAGTTGCTATGTATTGAAGAATGAGTTTGGAAAAGGGCACAAGAGGGAGAAGGAAGACTGATTTGGAAACCATTACAGTAACCTAAGGGAGAGTCAAGGTATGGCTGATTTAGGGTGGTCTATGAGATAATAGGAGTTAAAGTAAAAAAGACTTGATAATGATTGGTATCAGTGTGAGAAGTATCTAGGGAAGCTGTCAATTTCTGATTTAAGCAGCTGAGAAGAAAGTGTCATTTGCTGAGATAATCAGAAGTTCTGATTTGAATATATGTCTATGAATCATCTAAGAAGAGGGTATAAATGATAATAATTTTTAAAAAAGAATTAGTAAATACTTATTAAATGTTCACTGTATGGCAAGCATAGTTTTTAAGTGCTTTAAATATATTAATTCATTTATTATCAGAAAAGCCCTATAAAGGATATGCCAATTTAGAAATAAAGAAACAGAGGCACTGAAAGGTCACATAACTTATGTAGGGTCACACAGCAAATACGTTACAAAATTGGTATTGAACTCTATGTTTCTGACTCTGACTCCAAAGCCTGAAAGCTTAACCACTCCAGGGATTTCTCCCTTTCATCTTTAAATAAGCAGCTAGATATAAGAGAACACTGCACAGAACAGGATTCCAGAGCTATTCATTTGGGAATCAGCAGCACAGAGGAGGAATTTAAATCCAAGGGAATGGAATAAAGTGTAGAATAAGAGAAGGATCCCTGGAATGATCTGGGAAGAGCCACAAATAAGTCTGAAAAAGAATGGCCAGAGAGGTGGGAGGAAGCCAAGAGATTGTTGAGGGATTTCAAGAAGGGAAGGGCCAATTTATTGCATGCTGAGGAAATGTCTCATAAGATCTGAGCTAAGTGTTTGAGGATTTGACACGTAAGATATGAACTAATAGTGTTTGAAGGTTTGGCACCAAATTGGTCATCATTCAACCAAGCAAAAGCACCTGATGTGATGTGTTGAGCACGAAACCTAAACTAGATTAGAGACACCAAGTGTAGAAAACATTCTTGAGCTGCCAGGCTCTGAAATGCAACTCAGAGATGGGGAGATTTCTAAAGGGAAATCTGGGGTGAAAGAGGTAGATTTTTTTTTTATTTTCTCAACTTATGAGATATAAATTGGTATGTTCACATGTTGGTAAGAAAGATCTAATAGCTAGAAAAGGAACTGCTGAAGTTGCAGGAAAGAGAAGAGAAATATAAGGAATGAAACCTGAAAAATAGAGGGCAGAGTCAGAGGGGTGGAGAAGGAAGGGGCCCTGACGGGAGGTGGGCCACTTCTTCCAAGGCACATGCAGGCAGGCACCTCTCTGGAGGGTCCCATGGCTGGCTATGTGTGACAGTGCATGAAATAGTCACTGAATATGCTCCCTTGCTGTCCTCTGCTTGTGCTCACCGAGGAGTGACTGTGTCTACTGGAAACAAGTTTGCCTTTTCACTGTTCTAAATAAAAGGATCAATGACCTCAAATCTAAAGAGCATCAGGAAACCTCTGAAGCACAGAACTGTACCAGGCATGTCAGGCATTCAGCAAAATTTAGGAACAACTATCTTTTTCATTCCACACCGTTGCCCAGTCCCATAGAGAAGGGGAAATTCCTGTGATCCAGGAAGATAATCCAGGAGATGTCACCTCAGCCAGTAAGCCACCCTCTGAGAACCCAAGTATCTCCCAATTTCCTGTTCTGAGAGCTTTTCACTCTTTCTTATCTCTGGTTTGTTGTAAGTACTAGAGGAAGACAATGTAATTATAATACTCACAGGAAGATACAGATGACGATGCAACTCCCAGGATATTTGCAATCGACAAGAGACCACTTAAACTTAATGAATCTCTAGAGAAATATAAAGAGAGAAGATGATCTGTGGTCCATGAGTACTTGCAAGGGAGCTGTCTATTCTGCCCATTCTGTCTGATCTGCCTATCAATCAGGATGGCCCTGTCTACATGGGAACACACCAGATACACACATCCAGGCACACGTGCACACAAATATATATACTCAAGACACATTCCCAGACACATACTAACACATCTATCCACATGGCATGCACATAAACACACAGGTACACACAAACGTAGATACACATGCACACAAAGTTTGTGCTACCTTAACTAAGTACCACGTATGGTGAAGATCAGTGTGGCTGACAAATGGGCAGGAACAAGAATATGTAAAAAATTCTAAGTCAGAGCAAATAGTTTAGATGTATTATTCTAAATGAAATAAAAAGCAATAAGGAGTTTTAAGTGGAGAAGTGACCTGAACTGATTTCGTTTTCAAAATGCTCCCATGGCTGTAATGGAGAATACTTACAGGGGCCAGAGAAGACTTACAAAGCAAACCTATTAGGAGGCTATTACAGTGATCTAGGTGGGAAATAGAGGAAGGTTGAACTGGACTGGCAGCCATGGAGAAGAAAGTTTGGTAGATTCAGGTAGATTCTTTGGTAGAAAGACATGTTGACAGGACTTGTCCAGGGATTAGAAACAAGATAAGGAACAGTTTAAACAAGTGGGTAGCCCGGGCGCGGTGACTCATGCCTGTAATCCCAGCACTCTAGGAGGCCGAGGCGGGCGGATCACCTGAGGTCAGGAGTTTGAGACTAGCCTGGCCAAAATGGCGAAACCCCATCTCTACTAAAAATACAAAAATTAGCTGGGCGTGGTGACACATGCCTGTAGTCCCAGGTACTCGGAAGGCTGAGGCTGAAGAATCGCTTGAACACGGGAGGCAGAGATTGCAGTGAGCCAAGACCACACCACTGCACTCCAGCCTGGGCAACAGAGAGAGACTCTGTCTCAAAAAACAAAACAAAACTACAACAAAACATAAACAAGTGGGTAGATTTACTTAGAGAAAGCTGGGAGAGAAGCAGGGAGAATCTAGAGTTCTGTTATAGCTGTGGCTCATTTTAAATTCACGTGATCTATGTGACAATGTTAAAGAGAGGCTGGATATATAAAACTGGAATTGCAAGGATAGGTCAGGACTGAAGATAGAAATACAAGAATTATGAGAACAGAGATGGTATACAAAGCATGCTATTGGATGAAGTTGTAAGGTGAGAGTGTCCATAAAGAAGAGTCCCTGAGCAGCTAGAAACCTCCAACATTGTAAGGCATGCAGAGGAGGAGGGGGCAGCAAAGAAAATAGGAAGAACTATCAGTAAAGGATGAGAAGCAGAAGGAAAGCTTTTATCCATTTTCGTCAGTTTTACCAGGATGTAAACGAGCTGAAAAAAAATTATTTTATGTGGTTTCTCTTGCAAAAACTGAGAATTTGGGCAAGCAAAGTTTTAAAGATATGTCCACAAATTATTTGAAAATCCTTCTTCTAAGAAATGGAGTTTAATTTCCCTTTGCTTGTGTGCAGGTTACATTGAATGACTCAATTCTAATTGAATCTGGCAGTGGTAGTGGGATGGCACTTCAGGATTAGATTATAAAAAGAATGTGGCTTCCATGGTGAGGTGGCCCATGTGGAAAGGAGCTAAGATCCTGGACCAATGTTCACTCAAGGCCCAAGGCTCTTCAGTCAGCTGTGGTGAATGCTGCTAGTCTTGAGTCTCTCCCTTCAGGGCAGTGGGCTTCCTTCTGGCCCAGGGAAAGTCTGGAAATGCCTTCCAGAGCCAAGGCCTGGAATAGGGGACCCCAAGAGCCCACTTGGTGCTCTACCCCACTGTGGCCAAGCCAGTACCCAAGCTGCAAGGCAAAGTCCCCTTTACCCTTCCCTCTCCTTTCCTCAGGCAGAAGGAGTCGCTTCCCATAGCCACCACAGCTGGGAATGTGCTGGGTCACACCTGAAGCCAGCTTGGCTCTGACTCACAACCAAGGCCCAAGGTCAATACTGCCTGGTGACCACTGCCCACTATTCAGGGCCCAAGGGGTCTTTAGTCAGCAAGTGATGAATCCTGCCAGGACAGGTCCTTCCCTTTAAGACTGCAGGTTCCCTTCTGGCTCATGATGTGTCTGGGAATATTTTCCAGAAGGTAGGGCCTGGAATGGAGGCCTCAAGACTCTGTCCAGTGCCCTACTCTACTGTGGCTGAGCTGGTATTCAAGATGCAAGACAAAGTCCTCTTCACTCTCCCTTCTCCTGTCCTCAAGAAGAGAGAAGGAGTCAGTCCTGGAGCTGCAAGCTGCATTTCCTGGGGTTGGGGGAAGAGTGATGCAAGCACTCTTGGACACCTCAGCTGATGTCTCAGTAGGTTGTGTGTACATTAAGTCCACTAGCTTCAAGCCCAGCATAGCACCAGGACTTGCCCAGGAATTACAATCCTTGTGGTCTAGATTACCTTTCAAGTTTACATAGAACCCCAGAGTATTTTAGCCTGTGGTGATGAACCTTGCTGGAACTCAGCTTCAGACAACTGGGATGGATGATTTTCCTATCACTAAAGCTGGTCTCCCTGTTCCGTCCATGGGTGCCAGCTGAGTTCAGCCCTGTGTGTGCTTTTTGCTGTGATAGGGCAGCTCTGAGTTCCAACACAAAATCTGACAATCACTGAGTTACCCCTCCCCTAAATACACAGATTCTCTCTGTGTGCCACACGGCCACTGCCAGGGAATGGGGAAAGGCTGGTGTATGCGATTCAAGACTGTTTTTCCTACCTCTTCACTGCCTCTTTCTTTATTATAAGGTTAAAACCAGGCACTGTGATTGCGCACCTGATTTTTCGTTCCTATGGAGGTGTTTTGTTGTGTGAGTAGTTGTTCAATTTGTTGTTCTTATTGGGAGGACAATCACTGAAGGTTTCTATTTGGCCATCTTGCTCTGCCTCCTCTCCCATCCATTCTTGTATTTTACTTTTCTAAGTGAATATTAAGAGCTATTCTTTCTCCTTTTTAATAATTGTTGGCATGAGTTGTTTTTTGTGGGGTGTTTTGTTTTGTTTTGTTTTGAAATGGAGTCTCACTCTGTCGCCAGGCTGGAGTGCAGTGGCATGATCTCGGCTCACTGCAACCTCTGTCTCCCAGGTTTAAGCAATTCTCCTGCCTCAGCCTCCCGAGTAGCTGGGATTACAGGTGCCCACCACCACACCCAGCTAATGTTTGTATTTTCAGTAGAGATGGGGTTTCACCATGTTGGACAGACTGGTCTTGAACTCCTGACCTCAGGTAATCCACCCACCTCGGCCTCCCAAAGTGCTGGGATTATAGGTGTGAGCCACTGAGCCCAGCCAAGTTTTGTTTTTTAATCTTAAAGTCACAGAAAATCTCAGGGGGTAGCTGTGGAATCTGAATTGCCTGTCTTTTGGATAAAAGCCATTTTATCTGAGGTGAGATGATATCTCATTGTAGTTTTAATTTGCATTTCTCTCATGACTAGTGATGTTGAGCATGTTTTCACATATCTGTTGGTTACTTCTATGTTTTTGAGAAATGTCTATATCTTTTGCCAATTTTTAAATTAGATCATTTTTTCCTAGTGAGCAGTTTGAGCTCCTTATAATATTCTGGTTATTAATGTAAGGGCCCTCATTGTAAAAATCACCTTTTCTATATTCAGCATTTTTTTGTAATGTGATCAAACATATTTAGTTACAACTGTTAGCTTCATCTCAATTGTTTCAGTTTTTAAACATTATAATATTAAATATTTTGAAAATACTGAAAAGTAAAAAGAATAAATAAACATTTGTGTTCACACCACTAAGATCCAACAAATGGTAATATTTTGCCATGTTTTGGATATTTCAATTTTTCTTAAAAAATGAAGAATTACAAATACAAACAAAGCTTCCCTGATTCTAGTTCCCTTCTTCCTCTCTATACACAAACATTATCCTGAAATTTGTATGTTACACTGTTACATTTGTGTTCTAATATTTGTTCTATACATATATGTATGCAAATTAAATAAAGTTGAGATGCCAGTACATCTTTGGTACATTGTGGATGAAGGAATTTTAAGGTTTAGAGAAACAAGAATTTGGGGTGAATTTATCATATGTTTAGAGTGAATTTATCATGTGTCTAGAGTAAATTTATCATGTAAGTGATGAAAAAAAGCAAATTGTTTTCCTACTCTCACACACTGCAGAACACTTCACCTCTGGTTCCCATATTTTATGGAAACTTCTCCCCACACACAACAAAGCAGTTCTGTAGTGGACACCAACTGGGCGTTCTACCATTTAAATTCTGATGCTGTCTACCTGGAGTTAGCATCAGATCCCACAGATTAAAGTCTCAGTCCCACAAGACTATCCCCACTTCAGATGCCAATCAGAAACCACAGGGTATGATTTGTGCTTCTGCCCACCTATAGTTGGCTACAAATTGGGTGTTCCCAAAACTGCCTCCCTGGGTTTAATTAATTTGCTAGAATGGCACACAGAACTCAGGGTGAAACACTTTATTTACACTTATCTATTCATTATTAAGGCTATTACAAAGGATACAGATGAACGGCCAGGTGGAAGACGCATTAAGCAAGGTATGGGGAAGGGACACAGAGTTTCCATGCCCTCTCTGGGGAACACTCTCCAGGGACCTCAACATGTTACCAATCCAGAAGCTCTTGGAACAAATAAAGGCTTTAATGTAGACAGGATTGATTAAATCATTGGCCATTGGTGATTATCTCAACCTTCATCCCTGCTCCCCTGCCTGGAGGTTGGGAGTAGATGAGACTGAAAATTCGAACTCTCTGATCACAGGGTTGGTTCCCCTGGCAACCAGGCCCCACCCTAAAGCTATCCAGGAGCTCCCAGCTATCACTCCAATCTTTGGAAATCCCAAAATCCCAAGGGTTTTACTAGCTGTGTGCCAGGAGCCATGATCAAAGACCAAATATTAGAACAAAATATTCTCCTACTGCCCCGTTTACAAAGCTTATAGGAACTCTGTCTCAGGATCCAAGACAGAAACCAATTTATATATTTCTTATTATGGTTAACCACTCACCCACCCACTAACTCTGTTCCAAAAGAATCCCCAGGGAATACTACCTCTACCAATGCATTAAGAAATATATTGGTAAATAAAGAACCAACATCCTGGAAAAGTTCAGTGTCTTCAAATCAGTGAAGGTGTTTGAAAATAATCCCCTTGACACGGCCTCTCTGATTCCCAATCTTAAGGGACAGTTGGTAATTACCAAAATGGGCAACAAGACTAGAGCACCAGCCAAAACCATTTTATCCACAGATACCACTGAGAGCAGCTAATTGATTTTGGTATTCCTAGAACAAATATAGATATCTGTACCATCTATAACATATGAAAAAAATTAGAACTTTCATTTTTGTTAACAGAGTCTTAACTCCAAGCAAGACAATGGAGAATCACAACTTCTCACTAAGTTCCCAGACTTGAGTCATTTCACAAACATAAGTCCCTTCAATAAAAGGAGGACCAGATACCATCAAGACTTCCCACTGTTACACTAACACAAGAAGTTTGTATAAAATTTCTCTCTTGAGTTCCCTCTAAGGCACAGAGCAAGGACCCCACTTAGGTGCCTTCCAGGCCTCTCCCAAGCACGGAAATAAAGGAAAATCTTGAGTTGCTTTGAGAGAAATTTTAGGCACCTAGCGAGCTCTGAGAAGTAAACGAGCAACTTGATAAATAAAAAGGTGATAGTAGCTGTAAACAATAGCCAAGGAAGTTAGAGTCACAAGATGTTTGGTTCCCTGAAGAAACTAAGAATAACATGTTCACATATGTCCCGAGTTGTGTTTCAGAAACCTGGGCCCACACTAAATGGATCCATTGGTACGTAGACCTCAGATAAGAAGGAATTGCCGACTGAACTCCAACTGCTGTTCTTTCTAAGTTTCTTCCTAAGGGGCTTGGAGGTAGTCACACCCATGAGCCATACCTAACGTATCTTTCTGCTGATCCCAAATTTTTAAACAAAGCTTTTCTTCCTTAACTAGTTGCAAATCAGAAAATCTTTCAATCTATCTATGACCTGGAAGCACCTGCTTCAAGATATCCCACCTTTTTAGTCCCAACCACTGTATAACTTACATGTATTGATTTTGAATTTTGCCTGTAACTTTAGCTTTCCTGAAATTGACCCCTGCCTTTAAAAACCTGTGCTTGCAAGCCATCGGTGAGGTCAGGTATTAAGCAGGAGCTGCTAGATTGCCCTTGCTTGGTGCCCTGCAAATAAACACCCTCCTTTCACCTGTTACAAACTTCAATGTGTATGTTTGGCCTTATGCAAGTGCTGAGTGAGTGAAACCCAGTTCAGTTTGGTAACAGTAGTGTGACTGTACACTGGAGAAAGAGAAATACTCAGATTCTTCAGAGATTATTGCACTTGTTCAGAGCTTACAAATTCCCACAGATCCTATATGTCAGTGTGGTCCAGTAGTCAGGGTGGGGGCTTACGGAGGCCAATGACCTACATTAAATAAAGTTGAGAAGGCAGAAATTCTTTGTTGCAATGCAGAAGAAGGAATACAACAATCAGAATCCATCTCACAGTTGAATGAGTGGCTCTGTGAACCCCCTCGTGCTTAGCTAACTATTCAGTTTCTGAATGCAAACTGTACATTCAACAATAGGAAGTATACCTACTTCAGCTCCTTGTTTTATGAAGTAAGGGCTATAAGGTAGGAAGATCAGATGAAAGTGGCTGGAATAGTCCCTTTTTTGAAAATAGAAAGTCACAAACAATATTCCAGAGATTACTGCCACAATCAAATTTGAAAGACTAAGGGGTAAAGATTTCTGCCACCTCCTTGTTTAAATCACCTATGTGGCCTATGGAAAAAAACAGATGGCTTTTACAGAATTATGTGCAATATCATAAATGTAATCAGGTAGTGTTGCTACTTGCATGGTTGCTCAAGATGTGATTTCTTACTGGAAACCTAGTATGCCATTATTAAATCTGGCAAATGCTTTTCCTCTAGACTATTACTTGAGACCATAGAAGCAATTTGCTTCATGTGGCAGAAACAGTACTGTGGATTCCCTATATTAACGCAGGAGCTTTGGCAACTCTCTGGCTCTTTGTCATAACCAAGTTCCAAAGATCTGGATCGCCTTATCCCACTGAACATTATGTTTGTCCAGGATTTTGGTAACATCCTTCTAATTGCACTTGGAATTAAATGTGTAGAAATACAAGCCAGGTGTGGTGGCTCACACCTGTAATCCCAGCACTTTGGGAGGCCGAGGAGGGTGGGATTACCTCGGGTCAGGAGTTCAAGACCAGGTTCGCCAACAAGGTGAAACCCCCGCCTCTACTAAAAATGAAAAAAAAAAAAAATTAGCCACGCATGGTGGCACACACCTGTAATCCCAGCTACTTGGGAGGCTACTCAGGAGAATTGCCTGAGCCCGGAAGGCAGAGGTTGCAGTGAGCCAAGATCGTGCCACTGCACTCCAGCCTGACTGACAGAGTAAGACTCTGTCTCAAAAAGAAAAGAAAGAAAGAAAGAAAGAAAGAAAGAAAGAAAGAAAGAAAGAAAGAAAGAAAGAAAGAAAGAAAGACCATTACACTAAAGCTGAATTTGTACAAATCATCATTCACCTTAACAAATATTACACCTTCTCAGTGTGCAGTTTCCCTTTCTCTGTTTTGTCCCTTTACCTGAAAAATCCCTCTCTTGCCTCACAGTTTTACCTCATTTGGCTTCTCTTAAAGGATGTGCTCATTTTTCTTTCTTAATTTTCTGATCTTTTTTTTCTGTGACTTTTACTGGCTCTGTTTCTTCTCCATTGCCCCTCCCACCGACACACATCGCCAATGTCAGCCATTGCTCATATTCTCTTTACATGATACATATTTTTGTCTAGAATTTATGAGGAAAGTGGACTCCAGTCTAGGAATTTTGAGGAGAAAGAGATTTAATACAGGAAGTTAGAAATGTACGCATTAGGCCGGGCACGGTGGCTCATACCTGTAATCCCAGCACTTTGGGAGCTTGAGGCAGGCGGATCATGAGGTCAGGAGTTCTAGATCAGCCTGGCCAACATAGTGAAACCCTGTCTCTACTAAAAATACAAAAATTATCTGGGCATGGTGGCGCATACCTGTAGTCCTAGCTACTTAGGAGGCTGAGGCAGGAGAATCGCTTGAACCCAGGAGATGGAAGTTGCAGTGAGCCAAGATCGCACCATTGCACTCCAGCCTGGGCAACAGAGTGAGATTCCATCTCAAAAAAAAAAGAAAAGAAAAGAAAAAAAAGGTACACATTTATAAGGCTGGAGGAAGCCCAAATTATTCCAGAAAGTGGCTGGAAATCTAACAGTGAGAGCCCACAGGGGTGTGGTAAGGCCACCAATGAGAAGTCAGACAACAGTTGCCAAGGGATGTAAGGACTGCACCCTCTGAACATCATGAAACTGCCTCACCTTGAAATAATCTACCCTGAAACTATGCAAGAAAGAAATTCTGAGGAATTCGTTCCAGGCTTCTTTCCTATGAGACAAAGGAGAAGGAGGGAACAGACAGGAGCACTGCTGAGTTGACAAAAGACAACCCAGTTGTTTTCAAGGATGTAAACCCACCACCCTAGAAACACTCATCCCTAATCTGAGCCTTAAATTAAAATAAAATTAAAAAAAAAAAACCTGTATCATTCTGATTTTGCCAAGATAATCTCAAACTTGAATCCAAACCAAAATCTTTACAATAGTCTGTCTCCCACTTTTCTCTTCTGACATTGGGATTGTATCCTCCAGAGTCTTCGACTTTTAAATCAGGAGGTCAAATTTTATTTCTTCTTTTTCATAATCTGTGAATCTCATTGTTTTCTACTTTCCATAGTTGATTTTTTTCTTCTCAACCATGCTGCAAGCATAATACTTCAAGTTATAATTACCCATTTCCTATATTTCTATATTCAGATCTCCATGGCTTTGCAGTATATTTGTCAGCCTTTTTGCATGCTATGCAAGTCTAGATTCAAAAATATGGCTCTGCTGATAAAAAACCCTTGTGTAGTTCTCCATGTCCTCAGAATAAAGTCCAAAATTCCCATAAGGCCCTCTGTTCTGCTCCAAATTACGCATGTGCTGTTATCTCTGACAGTCATAATGGGCTTCTCCCTGCAGTGAACACACTGTACTAATGTCCATCTCTTTGATTTATTTATAATTACCATGAACTACAATGCCCTTATCATCTTTTCTCATCAAAATCTGCCCCATCTCAAGTGTGATCTTCCCGTGATCTGCCAGAACTTCAGCCTGCTTTGATGCTTTGCTTTCTCTGAAATCCCGAATCTGTCAACACATACTTTTGCATTTACCCTTATACTATTTTTCAGTGTTGTTTAATTTAATTCATTCATTAATGATTATCATCACTGTGCCAGAAACTGTACTGGGCACTACTTAAATACTCCACGTTCATTTGCTTGGTCTCTCCAACTAAACTGTGACTTCCTTGAGGCCAGGATTATATTTTACATGTTTCTTCTGATCTGTATGTTGTCCAGCCCAACTTATTCTACATACAAGATGTTCAACAGATCTTACTGAATTGTATTAAATTGGTCTCAAATTTGGCAAGAGAAAATAAGAAGATGAATTTATTGAATTAAAAGGGGAAAATAGAATGGAATTAGGAATCATCATTAGACATCTCATTGTCAGATTGGTTCATATTAAACCTCAAGCAGAATAATAGCACAGCCTTCACCACAGTAATTTTCTTCAAATTTTGCCAGAACATAACTTTCCAGAAAGAAAGAGATTTTTAAGTAATGCTTGTGAGGAGAACTTAACAACACAGGGCAGTTAAATTCTCCCACACTTAGTTCATAATATATAAAAGGTAATAGCCCAAAGCTTAATTCTGAATTCTGAAAAATGCATCTATTATTTTTCCTTTAACTGTTCTACCTAAAGAACCCTGCCCTTTGACAAGCTTGTGAACAATGAATTACAAAACAGAGAGAACTTTCTCTTGTCCGTAAGTAATAAATGCTTTCTATCTTTCCTAGTAGATTAATCAAATATCATTACGTATTGGCCTACTTTGTTAAATCTTCTTTTAATAATAATAAGGTCTCCCATTTTTTAAAGCTTTATTGACGTACAAAATGCACAAATTTAATGTCTATAATTTGATAAATTGTGACATATGTATACACCCACGAAACCACTACTACAATCAAAATAGTGAATATAAACATCAACCCCCAAATCCTCCCGGAGCCAACCAGTGATCTGTTTTAGTTACTATAGATTAATTTGAATTTTCTAGAGTTTTACATAAATAGAATCATGCAGTATGTACTATTTATTGGTTAGCTACTTTCACTCAGTATAATTCTTTTTTATTTTTCCCACAATGGGTCATTCCTTTTTGTTGCCAAACTTTTTTCAATCAGCATAACTACTTCGAAATTTATCCATGTTGTTGCGTATATCAATAGTCTACTCCCTTTTAGTATTGAGTAATAGTCTATTATATAAATATGACACAATTTCTTTATCCATTCATTTGTTCATGGAATTTAGGTTGTTGCCAATTTTTTTGGCTATTGCTAATAAAATTGTCATAAACACTATGTATAAGCCATCTATGGAAATACACCTTGTTTTCTCTTCGGTAAATACTTAGGCATAAGTTAGCTGAGTAATATTTTAGGCATATATTAAAAACAATTTAAGAAATTGTCAAACTGTTTTTAAAGTGGCTTGGCTATTTTATGTCCATAGCAATAGTATATGAGAATTCAGTTTCTTCACAACTTCACTAACACTTGGTATTGTCAGACTTTTAAATTTTAGCCTTTCTAGTAAGTGTATAGTGGTATATTGTGGTTTTAACTTATATTTACCTAATAAATAATGACGCTGAGCATTTTTATAGGTCTATTTTCCATTCGTGTATCTTCAATGTGAAGTGTCTCTTCAAATATTTTACCTATTTTAATTGGAATTTGTTTTGGTATTATTGAAGTTGGAGAGTTCTTCATATATTCTGGATATGATCTGTAATCAGATCTTTTTCAGATATGTGTCTTATAAATATTTTCCTCTAGTCAATGACTTTTAAGATTTTCTTCATGGAACCTTCTAATGAGCACTGTTTTTAAAATTTTGATAAACTATTTACCAATTTCTTATTTTATGGATTGTGCTTTAGTATCATGTTTAAGAAACGTTTGCCTAAGCTGAGGTCAAAAAGATTTTCTAATACATTTTCTTCTAAAATAATTATTGTTTTAGTTCTACATTTGTGTATGTGATTTGTTTCAATTACTTTTGTTCATGTTGTAATGTGTAGATTACAGTCGTTTTTAAAAAAACATTTTTTATTTGTGGATTTCTAATAGTTCTGGCACTATTTGTTGAAAAGATTATTGTTTAACCAAAGAATTGTGTTTGTATAGTTGTCAGAAATCAGTTGTTCATGTATGTAAGAGTTTATTTTTGTACCCCCTATACTGTTTCATTTATCTATCTTGACACCAGTACCGGTATCACATTCTTGATAGCATCACAAGTTTGGAAATTCATTAGTATTATCCCTTTATTTTTTTTAATTTTCCACTTCTTTATTTTTTTTAATTTTCCACTTCTTTATTTTACTATGTTAGATCTTTGACATTTTCATATGAATTTTGGAATTAGCTTGTCAATTTCTACAAAAACACATGCAGAGATTTTGATTGGAATTACATTGAACCTAAAGATCAATTTGGGGCAAATTATCATCTTAACAATATTAAGTGTTTTGGTTCATGGACATGCTGTATATCTCCATTTACTTAGGTCTTCCTTAATTTCTGTCAACAGTGTTTTATAGCTTTCCAAGTGCAGGATCCTGCATGTCTTTTTTTTAACCCAGAAATACCTCATTTTATTTTATATTTTTGATATTAGTCTAAACGGTATCATTTTATATAATTTCAATTTATGGTTGTTTATTGATAATGTATAAAAGCTTATTTCGGCTTATTGGCTTTGCATTTTTGTACCTTGCCAAAAATCACTTATTAGTTCTAGTAGTGCTTTTGCAGTTTCCTTTGGGTTTTCTACATAGGGGATCATGCTGTCTGCAAAAACAGACAGTTTGGATGGCCTTAATTTCCTTTTCTTGCCTTATGTAATAAGAAAATTGTCCTATATCTTTACACATCTAGTTACCATTTCCACTTCTCTTCATCCCACTTAGTAAATCCATATTTCCAACTGCCATCATTTTCCATAGATTTCTATTAATATTTCTTGTAGTATGATCTGCAGG
The DNA here is from genome assembly GCF_000001405.40 of Homo sapiens. Taxonomy (NCBI): domain Eukaryota; kingdom Metazoa; phylum Chordata; class Mammalia; order Primates; family Hominidae; genus Homo; species Homo sapiens. The sequence continues at coordinate 120,773,558 of NC_000007.14, forward strand.
TGATTTTTTTTTAGTTTTTGTGTGTCTGAAAAAGTTTTTTTAATTATTTTTATTTAAAATATATTTTCACACAGTAGAGAATTCTAGGTTGACCTTTTTTTCTTTCAGTGTAAGATGTTATCCTGCATACTGTTTTTGTCAAGAAATTGGCTGTCATCCCACGTTTGTTCCTCTGCATATCACATGATTTTTTTCTCTGAAGGCTTTAAAGACTTTCTATGTATCACTGGTTTTGAGCAAATTGATTATATTTTGCCTTGGTGTACTTGTGTCTTTTTATATTCTTGGATCTTTTATATCAATTTTGAAATGTTTTCTAGCATTCTTTCTTTAATCTTTGCTATGCTCCTCTCCCTTGAAGACTCCAATTACTTCTATATTAGACCACTTGAGGTTGTCATAGCTCAATGATTCTCTTTTTATTGTTTTCCTTTTTCTCTCTGTGTCTTTTCTTTTGTATAATTTATGTTGCTATGTCAGTGAAGTTTCTTAACCTTTCCTTCTGCAGTGGCTAATCTGCTTTTAATTCTATCCAGCATATTTTAATGTCACACATTGTAGTTTTCATTTTTAAAAGTCTGAGTATTTTAAAAATTATCTTTCCCATTTCTACTTAATGTTTTGAATACATAGAAAACCTCTATAATTACTCTTCTTAATGTTCTTGTCTGCAAATTTTAACATTTGTGCCAGTTATGGGTCTATTTCGATTGATTATTTTCTTCTCATTATGGATCACATTTTCCTAATTTTTGGAAGGTCTGATAATCTTTGATGGGATGTCAAACGTGAATTTTTTCTTTGTTGGGTGCTGAATATATATGTATTTCTATAAATATTCTTGAGCTTTTTTCTGAATACAGTTAAATTATGTGGAAACAAAATCTAAGGTCTCGTTTTCATAATTTGTTAGATGTCAGTAACATTTATTCTAAGGTTAATTATTTCCCATTACTGAGATGGGACTTTTCTGAGTACTCCATCCAGTGCCTTGTGAATTATGACATTTTCCAGTCTGGCTAGTGACAACAGGCACTATTCCCAGCCCTCTGTGGTACCAGTAGTTCTTTCTCTAATCCTCTTGGATGTGCTAATCAGTACCCTGCGAATACTCAAAGAGGAAACTCCACATCTGTGGAGTTCTTTATTTATGCATGCTGTTCTTTATTTATGCACCTGGGCTGTACCTAGGTTCTCCCTCCCTTCACCACATCCTGGAAACTCTCTCAAAGCAACAAGCTGGGGAAGCAATAAGACTCACCTCATTTGTTACTAGTTAATTAATTAAAAGTCACTGTCCTTTATTCCCTGACGGCCGATATTTTAAAAATTATTGTTTCAAGTATGTTAATGTTTGTTCTTTGTTTGTTTGTTTATTTCAAGCAGGAGGGTAAATCTGTTCCTTGTTATTTTATCTTGGTTGGAAGTAGAAGTCCTATTTTGCTTCTCTTAATGTTGATGGAGATAAATAGATTTAAGATATTTTTTATCTTAGAGAATTAAAGATGAGATATATATACTTGCCAAATTCTTAGAATAAAATAAGATAAAAAATAAACATATGACAATTCTAGATTGTCCTTGATATAATATTTTTCAAAAATAAATGTGTTCAGACACAAAACAAATGAATATAACTGTTGAATATACACACAAAAATTCATAAATACTAGTTAGCAAAAGGCAGAAATATATTAAAATAACAATACGTCATAACCATAAAATTAAGAATTATTTTGGACATCAGTTAATATTGTAGCTCTCTTATAAAATATTTGAGTACAGACTTGGAATTTTAACAAAACTTGTTCAAATCCCAACAATATCACTTACTTGCTATGTAATTTGGGGCATGTTTCTCATCTCTTTTCATGGGCACTTTATCTTGGCTAAAAAACTCACCTCATTAAGATTATAAGAAGAGTAAATAAAGCACTGTTTGGTACACTTGAACAGAAGTTTTGGAATGCCACTTTTTTTTAAGTTACTTTCTAGAATTGTGTAGAAATTGCAAAGTTAGTGGTGATCTGCTCCAATTTCTCACTCTCCAGGGACTTTTTTTCAGAGATGTGCACTCAGCTTTTACTTTGTACACTACCAGTCAAAGAAATTTGTATATTTAAAAGCTAAAGGATTTAGGGTTAGGTGTGAAAGCATTTTATAAATCTAGGACACTATTATACTGTTAGACTAAAAGTACAATCTGATAGTTCACTCAGACATTTATAAGATTTGACTAAGCTTTAAATGCATTCTGCAGATGCAATCTACAACCATTTACAGCTAAATGAGTACTTAGCCCATGCTAACCCAGTGTCCTCTGTCCCAGTCAAGAAGAACAGATGGCCTCCTTTACAGCTGTTTCTCCTTGTTGGAATCATTTTAGGCAATGGCTTTTACTTCATTTAACTGTCTCATAATTCATGCATATATTAATTTATATACACAATGAATAGATATGCAACTGATACATAAGATGTATTGCCTAGGCCTATGCAAAATGCTGAGTGGGAAAAAAATAGCATGATGTTTGTTCCCAAGAAAGACCAGACAGACAAGCAAAGAAAAAAAAAAAAAAAAGGCTGGGCCCCAGTGGCTCACGCCTGTACTCAAGTACTTTGGGAGAAGGAAGTGGGTGGATTGCTGGAGCTCAGGAGTTCAAGACCAGCCTGGGCAACACGGTGAGCCCCTGTGTAGCCTGGCATGGTGGCTCATGCCTGTAATCCCAGCACTTTGGAAAGCTGGGGCAGGAGGATTGCTTGGGCTCAAGAGTTTGAGACCAGCCTGGGCAACATGGTGAAACCCTGTCTCTACCAATAATATAAAAAATTTGCTGATGTGGTGGCACGCGCCTAAGGTCCCAGCTACTCAGAAGGCTGAGGTGGGATGATTGCTCGAGCCCGGGGGTGGTGGGCAGAGGCTGCAGTGAGCCAAGATAATGCCAGTGCACTCCAGCCTGGGTGACAGAGTGAGACTCTGTCTCAGAAAAAAAAAAAAAAAAAATATATATATATATATATATATATATATACACACACACACACACACACATATATATATATATTTCATGTGTGTCCATGTGAAGAGACCACCAAACAGGCTTTGTGTGAGCAACAAGGCTGTTTATTTCACCTGGGTGCAGGCGGGCTGAGTCCGAAAAGAGAGTCAGTGAACAGAGATAAGGGTGGGGCTGTTTTATAGGATTTGGGTAGGTAAAGGAAAAAGGGGGGTTGTTCTCTGGTGGGCAGGAATGGGGGTCACAAGGTGCTCAGCAGGGGAGCTTTTGAGCCAGGATGAGCCAGGAGAAGGAATTTCACAAGACAATGTCATCAGTTAAGGCAGGAACAGGCCATTTTCACTTCTTTCGTGGTGGAATGTCATCAGTTAAGGCAGGAACTGGCCATCTGGATGTGTACATGCAGGTCACAGGGGATATGATGGCTTAGCTTAGGCTCAGAGGCCTGACATTCCTGTCTTCTTATATTAATAAGAAAAATAAAATGAAATAGTGGTAAAGTGTTGGGATGGCGAAAATTTTTGGGGGTGGTATGGAGAGATAATGGGCGATGTTTCTCAGGGCTGCTTTGAGCGGGATTAGGGGTGGCATGGGAATTTAGAGTGAGAGAGATTAAGCTGAAGGAAGATTTTGTGGTAAGAGGTGATATTGTGGGGTTGTTAGAAGAAACATTTGTCATTTAGAATTATTGGTGATGGCCTGGATACGGTTCTGTATGAATTGAAAAACTAAACGGAATAAGAGAAAGAGAAAAACAGGTATTAAAGGTCTAAGAATTGGGAGGACCCAGGACATCTAATTAGAGAGTGCCTAAGGAGATTCAGCATAGTCCTGCCAGCAAAGATTATTTATTTACTTTAAGAGTTTAGAGTGGCAGTTTGGGGATAGCACCAGGAGATATCAGCTGTGATGGCTTGGAGAAACAGTGTAAACCGGCAGTGTAAACAGGAGCAGGGCATGTATGAGTAGTTGAGAACAGTGAATAGGAGTATGACTAGACAGAAGATAGTAGGGATGACAAGTTTTTGGGGGCACAGTCCAAGTTGGTCTGGTGAGACTGGGGCTTAATAAAAAGGAGCGTCCATACAGGAGCTCAAATGGGCTGTACATTGTAGCATTCTGAGGACAGGCCTGAATTCTGAGAAGGGAAAGTGGTAAAAGTATTGTCTAGTCCTTTTTAAGTTGGTGGCTGAGCTTGGTGAGGTGTGTTTTTAAAAGACCATTAGTCCATTCTACCTTTTCTGAAGACTGAGGACCATAAGGGATATAAAGGTTTCACTGAATACCAAGAGCCTGAAAAAATGTTTGGCTGATTTGACTAATAAAGGCCGGTCTGCTATCGGACTGTATAGAGGTGGGAAGGCCAAACCAAGCAATTATGTCTAACAGAAGGGAAGAAATAACCACGGTGGCCTTCTCAGACCCTGTAGGAAAGGCCTCTACCCATCCAGTGAAAGTGTCTACCTAGACTAAGAGGTATTTTAGTTTTCTGACTCAGGGCATGTTGAGTAAAGTCAATTTGCCAGTCCTGGGCAGGGGCAAATCCTCGAGCTTGATTGTGTAGGAAAGGGAGGGGGCCTGAATAATCCCTGAGGAGTAGTAGAATAGCAGATGGAACACTGAGAAGTGATTTCTTTGAGGACAGATTTCCAGGATGGAAAGGAAATGAGAGGTTCTAAGAGACGGGCTAGCGGCTTATAACTTACGTGGAAGAGGTTAGGAAAAGACGACAGAATAGAATGGGCCTGTGAGGCTGGAAGGAGATATTTTCCTTGGTCTAAGAACCATTTGCCTTGTATGGGAAGAGATTGATAGGTGGAAGTTTCAGCGGGGGAGTAGGTGGGAGGGACTGATGTGAAGGAGAAAAACTGGCCTTGAGGGACAGAAATTGGAAAGCTAGCTGCTTGTCTAGCCACCTTATCAGCATAAGCGTTGCCTAGAGCAATGGGATCTGACACCTTTTGATGGTCTTTGCAGTGAATGACTCCAGCTTCCTTTGGAAGTAAAGCGGCCTTGAGCAGAGTTTTTATTAAAGAGGCATTAATGATGGAGGACTTCATCATTAGTGAGGAAACCTCTGTCAGCTTATATAACAGCATGGTGGTGCAGAATATGAAAGGCCTATTTAGAGTCAGTATAAATATTGACGCGTAGTGCTTTTGCAAGAGTGAGGGCTTGAGTTAAGGCAACTAATTCGGCTTGCTGAGAGGTAGTGGAGCGGGGCAGAGCAGTAGCCTCAATGACAGATGTGGAAGATACTATAGCATAGCCTGCCTTTGCTGGTTAGTGGCGATTAGGCCTGGTGGAACTGCCATCAATAAACTAAATGTGATCAGGGTGAGGAACAGGAAAGAAGGAAATATGGGGAAATGGAGTGAATGTCAGGTGGATCAGAGGGATACAGTCATGAGGGTTAGGTGTGGTATCCGGAATAATGTGGGAGGCCGGACTGACGTCTGTGCCAGGAACAATGGCAATTGTGGGAGGCTCAACAAAGAGTGAGTATAGCTGAAGGAGCTGAGAAGCAGAAAGTATATGCGTCAGGTATGAGGAAGAAAATAGATTTTGGAAGTTATGAGAACTGTAGAGAGTGAGTTGAGCATAGTTTGTGATTTTTAGAGCCTCTGAAAGTATTAAAGCAGCAGCAGCCGCTGCACGCAGACATGAGGACTAGGCTAAAACAGTAAGGTCAAGTTGTTTGGACAGAAACGCTACAGGGTGCGGTCCCAGCTCTTGTGTAAGAATTCCAACCACACTAACTATGCCTAGGAAGGAAAGGAGTTGTTTTTTTGTAGAAGGGATTGAGGTTTGGGAGATTAGTCGGACACGATCAGCAGGGAGAGCACATGTGTTTTTACGAGAATTATGCCAAGATAGGTAACAGATGAGGAAGAAATCTGGGCTTGACTGAAGTAATGGGGGCTGTCTGTGAAGCCTTGTGGCAGTACAGCCCAGGTAATTTGCTGAGCCTGATGGGTGTCAGGGTCAGTCCAAGTGAAAGCGAAGAGAGGCTGGGATGAAGGGTGTAAAGGAATAATAAAGAAAGCATGTTTGAGATCCAGAACAGAAGAATGGATTGTGGAGGGAGGTATTGAGGATAGGAAAGTATATGGGTTTGGCACCATGGGGTGGATAGGCAACACAATTTGGTTGATAAGGCGCAGATCCTGAACTAACCTGTAAGTCTTATCTAGTTTTAGGACAGGTAAAATGGGGGAATTGTAAGGAGAGTTTATAGGCTTTAAAAGGCCATGCTGTAACAGGTGAGTGATAACAGACTTTAATCCTTTTAAAGTGTGCTGTGGGATGGGATATTGGCATTGAGCGAGGTTAGGGTGATTAGGTTTTGATGGGATGGTAAGGGGTGCATGATCGGTCGCTAAGGAGGGAGTAGAGGTGTCTTATCCTGGTAGGTTAAGGTGGGGAGATACAAGGGGAGAATGTTAAGGAGGTTTTGAACTGGGGGAAAAGGCGGCAATGAGGTGTGGCTGTAGCCCTGGAATAGTCAGGGAAGCAGATAATTTAGTTAAAGTGTCTTGGCCTAACAAGGGAACTGGGCAGGTGGGGATAACTAAAAAGGAGTGCTTAAAAGAGTATTGTCTGAGTTGGCACCAGAGTTGGGGAGTTTTAAGAGGTTTAGAAGCCTGGCTGTCAGTACCTACAACAGTTATGGAGGCAAGGGAAACAGGCCCTTGAAAAGAAGGTAATGTGGAGTGGGTAGCTTCCATATTGATTAAGAAGGGGACGGACTTACCTTCTACTGTGAGAGTTACCTGAATCTCGGTGTCCATGATGGTCTAGGGGGCTTCCGAGGCGATCGGGCAGTGTCAGTCTTCAGCTGCTAAACCGAGAAGATCTGGGAAGGAGTCAGTCAGAGAGCCTTGGGCCAGAGTTCCAGGGGCTCTGGGAGTGGCTGCCAGGTGAGTTGAACAGTCCGATTTTCAGTGGGGTCCTACACAGATGGGAGGCGGCTTAGGAGGAATCCCGGGCTCTGGGCATTCCTTGGCCCGGTGGCCAGATTTCCCACACTTGTAGCAAGCTCCTGGGAGAGGAGGTTCTGGAGGAATGCCTGGCTGCTGCGGTTCAGGCGTTTGGAAGTTCTTGTGTGTGGGAGATGTGGCTGGGGTTTGTCTCATAGTGGAGGCAAGGAATTGCAACATTTTCTATTATTGTACACCTTGAAGGTGAGGTTAATTAAGTCCTATTGTGGGGTTTGAGGGCTGGAATTTAATTTTTGGAGCTTTATTTAAAGTCAGGAGCGGATTGGGTAATAAAATGTATATTGAGAATAAGACGGCCTTTTGACCTTTTAGGGTCTAGGGCCGTAAAGCGTCTCAGTTGCTGCCAAACGAGCCATGAACTGGGCTGGGTTTTTCATATTTGATGAAAAAGAGTCTAAACACTAACTGATTTGGGAGAGGTCCGATAAAGAAAAAGGGGCATTAACCTTCACTATGCCTTTAGCCCCAGCCACCTTTTTAAGAGGAAATTGCTGGGCAGGTGGGGGAGGGCTAGTCGAGGAACGAAACTGTAAGCCGGACGGAGTGTGAGGAGGGGAGGTGATAAAAGGATTATAGGGTGGAAGAGCAGAGGCTGAGGAAGATTCGGGACTTAGCTCAGCCTGGCAAGGAGGGGAGAGGTCAGGTGGGTCTGTAGAAAAGGAAGATTAGAAAAACTCAGCAACACTTAGGGTTGGGACTGAGGGGACAGGCAGGAGGGAAAGATGGAAGATCTGGGATGAGTTGCATTGGGAACAGAGACTAGCGAGGGACCAATGTGTAAAAGAATGCCTGGACGTCAGGCACCTCAGACCATTTGCCCATTTTACGACAAGAATTATTTAGATCTTGTAGGATGGAAAAATTGAAAGTGCTGTTTTCTGGCTATTTGGAACCACTGTCGAGTTTGTATTGGGGTCAAGCAGCATTGCAGGAGAAAATAAGGCATTTAGGCTTTAGGTCAGGTGTGAGTTGAGGAGGTTTTAGGTTTTTAAGAACACAGGCTAAGGGAGAAGAAGGGAGAATGGAGGGCGGAATCTTGCCCCTAGTGAAGGAGGCAAGCCTAGAGAAAAGAGAGAGTAGAGACATGGAAAGAAGGGGTCGGGGGGGTGGTTCTTGCCCCCTAGAAAAGTGGGAAAGGGGTTGGGGCATGGAAATAAGGGGTTGGGGTGCAGAGATAAGAGGTCGGGGCATGGAAATAAGGAATCAGGGCACAGAGATAAGAGGTCAGGACTTGGAAATAAAGGATTGGGGGGTTCTTGCCCCCAGAAAAGCAGAGAAGGGGTAGAGACACGGAGAGAAGGAGTTGGGGGGTGCTTGCCCCCTAGAAAAGCAGTACTTGCCGCTAAGGGTGAAGGAGAAGGGGTTGGGGGGTTCTTGCCCCCTAGAAAAGTGGAGAAGGGGTACAGACACGGAGAGAAGAGGTTGGGGGATTCTTGCCCCACAGAAAAGCGGTACTTGCCACTAAGGGTGAAGGACCAAGGCAGGCGTCCCCGCATGGTCAGACACCTCTGAAATGTGGGTGAATAATCAGGCAGGCGTCCCCCCGTGATTAAACACCAAGGTAAGACTGTCTTCCTGAGTCCATGACTGGCGCCGGAGTTTTGGGTCCACGGATAAAATGCGTCTCCTGTCTCTATCAGAAAAGGAAAGGAACTGAAATGAAGAGAAGGGAGAGATTGAAGGGTGGAGCCAAGATTGAAAGGAGAAAGTGGTTGAGGGATAGTGACAGAAGTTGGAGAAGAGAGTAAGAAGAGGCTGCTTACCCGATTTACAATTGGTGAGATGTTCCTTGGGTTGGTGGGTCTGAGGACCCGAGGTCGTAGGTGGATCTTTTTCATGGAGCAAAGAGCAGGAGGACAGGGAATTGATCTCCCAAGGGAGGTCCCCTGACCCGATTCACGGCACCAAATTTCATGCGCGTCTGTGTGAAGAGACCACCAAATAGGCTTTGTGTGAGCAACAAGGCTGTTTATTTCACCTGGGTACAGGCGAGCTGAGTCCGAAAAGAGAGTCAGCTAAGGGAGATAGGGGTGGGGCCGTTTTATAGGATTTGGGTAGGTAAAGGAAAAAGGGGGTTTTTCTCTGGCGGGCAGGAATGGGGGTCACAAGGTGCTCAGCAGGGGAGCTTTTGAGCCAGGATGAGCCAGGAGAAGGAATTTCACAAGATAATGTCATCAGTTAAGGCAGGAACAGGCCATTTTCACTTCTTTTGTGGTGGAATGTCATCAGTTAAGGCAGGAACCGGCCATCTGGATGTGTACATGCAGGTCACAGGGGATATGATGGCTTAGCTTAGGCTCAGAGGCCTGACTATATATATATAAATTGAAAATACAAACATCAAACTAGATGTTATGGTAACTAATGCTGAGCTCCAAGAAGAATGAATTGTTGTGGACTAGAGTAGTCAGGAGAAACTTTATGTAATAGGTGGCTGCTGAGCTGGGACTTCAAAGTTGAGTACAAGCTGAAATTGTGGAGATGAGGTTATGCCAGCGAAGAACCATGGTGAGAGCAAAATCAAAGAGATACAGGATATATGGGATGTTAGAGGCAATGAGTGGACTAGGATTGGTCCCGCTGGCTGGTTTCTAGTGATATTTGGGAAAGTATTAAGGGAGATAGATTTGGAAAAATAATCAGGTAGTGGAAGACTTTATTCTGCAGGTACTGAGGAGTGTGGCAGAGATTTGCTAGTTGACAGCAGTACTCATTACCCATTCTTTCTGTGTGGTTATTGAAATTCCTGGTTTAACCTGATGCATGAGTGTTCGGAACAAAAAGCATTTACGACCCTTCCTTGTAGCTGTGTGGTGTCAATGAAAGTGGTGTGTGCTTCTGAGTAGGTCCTTAAAGGGAAGAGGTATGCTTCCTTCCCTTTAACTTTCCCATTGTCTGGCCTATTGTGTGAAATGTGGAAGTAGGCTGCTGCTTGGGTCCATGTGAGCAAAGCAAACACCTCAGCGTTGTAGAGTAGCCAGAGAGAAGGATCCCGAGTCCCAGACACCTTCAGGCAGCCATAGTTCGGGTTACTCACATATGCATTTTATGAGCTAAAATTTCACTTCTATTTTGTTTAAGCCACGGTATTTTGAAATCTCTAATATAGCAGCCAAAATTTTGAATTGAGCTATTGCTTCCTTGTAGTCCTCATGGTAGCCAGGCAAGGCCTAGGGTGGCCAGTGGCCCCTGAGCTTCACGTATCCTAGCGTGTCTTATAAATAACATATACATGAATGAGTTGGGAAGCTCTGCCTTTCTTACAACAAGGAACCTCTGGAAGTGTTCGAGTAAGGAAGCAGCAAGATAAGAATAAAGTTTCACAAGAATTAATCTGAGTGATAGTTAACAGATCAGTGTTGCCTGGGGCTAGGAGAGGGGAATGCAGGATTTATCACAGATGGGCAAGAGGAAACTTTTTGACACGATGAAAATGTTCTAGATCTCGATTGTTGTTGTGGTTACATGAGTATATATAGTTGCCAAAACTAATTAACTATATACTTGAAAGGGGTATATTTATTAGGGGTGTGTGTGTGTGTATGTGTGTGTGTATATATATATAGTATGTTTTTATATATATATGTATATAAAATCTCAATAAAGTTGATTAAAGAACTTAATTTGGGCTGGGCATGGTGACTCATGCCTGTAATCCCAGCACTTCGGGAGGCTGAGGTGGGCGGATCATGAGGTCAGGAGTTCAAGGCCAGCCTGGTCAACATAGTGAAACCCCATCTCTACTAAAAATACAAAATATTAGCCAGGCGTGGTGATGCACAGCTGTAATCCCAGACATTTGGGAGGCTGAGGCAGGAGAATCGCTTGAACCTGGGAGGCAGGGGTTGCAGTGAGCCGAGGTTGCACCACTGACTTCAGCCTGGGTGACAGTGTGAGACTCTGTCTCAAAAAAAACAGAACTTAATTTGCCTGTGTGTGTATGTGTGTGTACAAGATATTTTAGATAATTTATACTTGTTCTTGGGAAATAATAGTAGGAATGAGGTTAGACAAGAGCATCATTTTGATTTGGCCTGGTGATATTGATTTACATGTAGGAGAATTTGGCTTTTCTAGGTAAAGAATCATCTGAGCTTCACCACAGGCTGGTGAAGATACCATGCCACAAAATGGGGAAAGTGGAAGTATAGCTCTGCCACATATTAGCTAAGTAAATGTATTCAGTCTCTTGGAGTCCCTCTTGTTCATTTGTAAAATAAAGTGGGGTGCCTGCAAATTGCAAATGAGTTGTGAAGAACAGAGAAAATAAGTGTAAAGCACCTCCTACATGTGCCTGGTACCTAGTACGCACCCCTGAAAGTATGAGGTAAAGAGTGATTGCAATTAACACATAAAAATAGAAAAAGAAAAGCTTTCAAGATCAAGATGATACCAAAGATTCTCCTATATATGTTTCTAGGATGTGAGGAAATGAGAACTCAGTTCACAGGGGAGACGAATCTGCTTGTAAATCTCAGGATGACAATAGGAAGGGGGTTGGGTGAAGCAACATAGCAGTTGGCAGTGTTTTAAAAAAGGGGCAGCTTCTTTGCCAGAGAAGATTCAGTAGTATAGTGATTTCTTCTTTCTTTACCTCCCTTGACTCATCCACAGGAGAGGGAATTCAGACAAAAGGAAGCTTCTGTGGCAATCTATTTAAGATTCTCCTCATATAAGATTTGGTTCCCAGCCCATTTTCTGTCAGGCTTCCTGAGATGGGAAAGCAATGCATAAAAATTCTCAGGCTTGACAGTGAATTCTCCTGAGCTCCAGACTGAAATTTACAGCTGCCTGTAGACATCTCCATCTGCATGTCCTGCAGGCATCTCCAACTCTGTGTCTCAGACCAAATTAATTACCCTCTCATACTCGTTCCCCTCCAGTCTTCCATCTAGGTTAATGCCATTGCCAATTTGCCAGGCACAAAATCCAGAAATTTCAGTACTTTTACTTCTTGTCCCACACTCCCTGAGGTCTAGCTACTGCCAATTTTTGTGGATTCACCCTGTTGTGATCTGTTTTATGCACTCTGTTTTTTGACTTCCATTGTCCTGGTGAGGATCCTTATCCCTCTCCAGGACCACAACAACAGCAATCTATTCAGTCTCCTGCCAGGGCCTGCAGTGTGTACAACTCTCAAGTGCTCCACTTACCTAGGCTGTGGTCAATGGTGGCCCACCCACCCAGGAGTTGCAAAATAAGTATAACTGTCTCCTGGTCCCCTCTTTCTCACTTGGCTAATCCAGTTAAATTAATGAAATATTCATCATTTCTCTTTCTGAAATTGCTTCGGTGACTTTACTTTGGGCCTACAGAACAAAGCACCCAAACTCAAATTTCATTCATTTCCTGTCCCATGGCATCTCTTCAATCATTCTATGATCTAACCACATTGAACCATAAGTCATAACTCCAAAATAATGTATACTTTTTAACCTCAAACTCATGGCTCATGGAATATTTTCCATGAGCCAGCTAGACTCCACTGCTCCTTCTGATCCAGCTTGAACGCCATCTCCTTGGCATAGCTGCCTTAATTCCACTCTACTCCATCTCTTATTCTTAAGAAGGGCCCCACTCACTGCATATTCCCTTATTTATTTTTCCTGTGGTTAGCACAAGTGTCTCTAACCCAGATTCTACAGTGTTTAAGGACAGACATCATCTCTTGTTGCCATCTCTGAGTCTCCAGGGCACTTTGAATGGACTTTTAACCAGTCTAAAAATAATCTTCTTAAATTTCTACTTTTAAAAAATGGTGATTTTTTTTTTTAACCAAAGAAAGCTTTTAAAAATTCCCAAAGAAACAGTTAACAGTTTTGTTTGCAATGTACCCAAATAGTGAACTCCCTCAGCTCTACTGCATTAAATATACTTTTTTAACTCCCTTGCAGTTTTATTATTCCAGGTGCACTGCTACCATAAGAGGCTTTGTGAGCTACTGCTATAAATGTCATTCATTCCCATTAAGCAAGTGTATTATATACAAAACGATTGTCTAAATTTATGTTGACCATTCTAGAGGGTAGTGTATCAGGTAATACATCAAAATATCTGAGGTCTAAAAATGTAGAAAGCAACTTTTATAATTTGAGGACTTTTTATTTTACTGAGCCCAACATATTATATGCTTGCTCTTGCTGTGACTGTAAGACATATCAAAAAAAGCAGCAGCTAAATTTGACCATTATACAAATAATTCAAACAAAACTCATACATAGCTATCTCAGTTACGTGGGTATTTTAGGTGAAATTACAGGGATTTGGGGTATTGAGGAAGTTATTAAAAGGGATGCTTTTGGCTCTGATTGAACAAGTAATGTACTCAGTTTTCATTAAAATCTATGGAAGATTTTAAACATGGCAGTCAATTTCAAGGATTATATTCCTTAACTCATTTGAAGAGAATTTGAAATTAACTAAGAGACTCATAGTCTCTTAAAAATTAATAAGTTATAAAACTGTGATATGCAAACATTGAAAAGATGAACACAAATGGGCATATTTTTATATTATCTCAAACAAGTATATTATTTAACATTTAGGTAAAAAGCAAAAGTGAAAAATGGGCATCTTTTTGACTCTTCTCAGTGAAAATACATATTCTTATAGGTCCATTCCGGAGTTTGGAAATCAATATTAATACTTTATGCAATCATTCTTTCTCATGTTTTTCTCCCCTTGACAATCTTCTCAAGTGGCATAAGTGCTTGTAATGTATTAAAAAGTAGGCAGAGACAAATCATTACTCTCTAGAAAATATTTATTGACACATTTTAATTTTCTTTCCATATTCTGAGAAATAAACAAAATACACAAAATACAGTAAAATGCACTTTTCCCATTTCAAATAAATATACTATACTCTTGTAAAAAAATTTAATAATCTGTGTAATTTGCCACAGTATATTAATCAGTGAAATAAAACAAAGAATCTCTAAATTGTCACATGTTTTAATGATTCTCACAAGCATTTTTCTGGAGAAAAAGAACACTATTTTCTGTAGAATTTATATTGACTTGGAGACTATTGCTTCTTGTTTGGAGAAGGCAAAGATAAGCTTTTTAAAAAGTGTTTAGTGTCAAAAAGAGTCTTCATTTGGGAGAAAAACAGCATACAAGTCCTTTCTGAATCAACTAAGTTATGTGCAAATTTTCTTATTAATACTTCCTAAAGACCAGACTACATTCTGAATAATGATTCCTATGTATCACACTGGTAATTTTCAAAATTAGTGGTTAAGTATTTAAATAACAGTTATATGTGTAATATAAGCCCAGGACAGAATAGTAAAGCTTTATTAACAGGAAAGGCTAAAAATAATGATGCTATACAGGACAAATTTTCCTTTTCATAATGGTTATTCTTAACATTATCAGAACTGAAATCGACTGAATTATACAGATTTAACACAGACTTATATACAAAAAATCCCTGATCAGCTTAAGACAATGTGTTAGCTTGCTCTTTTAAGTGGTAAGAATATTTTAGTAACCAGCAAAAATCACATTTAGGTAGTCACCAATATTGAAAGTTTTCTGATATATAATTTATTTAGCATCAGAAGAATAGATCGCTGAGTAATAAAAGTTATTAGTATTTTCTAACTTCCTATGTTAGCATTTAATTAGTACTTTATATACTAGTTGGTAGAAGTAAATCAACCTTTACTATGGCTCCAGTCCCACCATATGTGACTCGTTTGCATGGATGCGGAAATGCTAATCAAACCATGCTGCCTCAAAACATAACTGTGTTCAGTAAAAGTCATACACAGGCTACACAGTGGGTATGACATCTGTCTTCAGCATTTTAAGGGCATCAATTATTGTCCAGGTGGTGACTTATGACATGAAACTTTTCCATCCTCATTTTAAAGCATAGAATAGTATATGCTTAGGTGTTATTTTATGGCAACATTTTTATTTCTACATATTTCTGAAACACATAGTATGTACTCAAAAATTCACAAGTCCAGTAAAACAAGTTTGTGGTTTTCTTCTGTGACATTTCTTTTTATAACTCCTCCATCTCAAAGTGTGTATTAAAGCTGTTTGCCATGGATGTGTGTTCAAAGATTCTTGACAGGCTTGGTTTCAACAGTTCTACTGAGGGACATGACAGGTGCTGAGAGTTGTCATTCTTCAAGGACATCATTTGGTCTGTCCCCGGCTCCCTTCTATCATAATACAGAGCCCAGAGCAGAGTAATGGTGAGAATCATGGCCAGGATTTGTGTCACCCCAATGGAGATTCCCAGAAACCTCAGCACCTGCAGTTGTTTGGTTCCTCTCAAAAAGGAATACATTTTCTTCCCACAACCCTGTAAAAGAAATACATGGTCAACATTACTTTAGATATGTTACAGAAGGCCAAAAATAGTTAATGAAAGCAAACAATCTGTATCAGTTAATGAAATCAGACTAACTGGGATCATAAAGTTTAAGACAGTGGTTCTCAGGGAAAGCTGATGAGAAGAAGGAGAGAGGGAGGTGTGTAGCTTTTGAAAAGCCTGTCCAGCTGATTCCAATGAGCCAACCCCTTCTTTTGTCTTTCTCAAAACCTGAAATTGAGGCCCACTGACATAAAACCCAACATCTAAAGCAGGGGTTGACAAACTTGTTTTCTTTTTTTAGAGAGACAGATAGTAAATATTTTGGGCTCTGTGGGCCATATGGTCTCTATGGCAACTACTCATCCCTGCCACTGTCACAAGAAAGCAGCCATAGATGGTAAGTGAATGAATGAATGTGGCTGGGTTTCAGTGAAACTTCAAACACATAAAAAGGCATTAGGCCAGATCTGGCACACAATGTTTACGATTTAATAATACTTAACACCGGTTTGGTAAAGTCGCTTCTCTGGCCGCCTTAACCTATTTGATACAAACACAAGAAATTTGCACAAACACAGACATAGACATACATTCTGTGGGAAACTAACATAGACATCACAAAGACAACTCACCAAAATTTAAGTATTTTACAAAGAGTTCCACTCAAGTATTCTATAAGAGCTCATTCACTCTTAGGTTTATGTGTTGTTTTAATAAGCATCTTTATATGACACAGTGATACAGGAGATAGAAATTATTTAGGCAGATAGTGAGGGTAAAAGAGTCCTCGGTGGAATTTCCCTTTTAACAAAAAGCAGCTCCAAAATCATTAATAGAACTGCCTGAAAAATTGAGCTGTAGACATAGACAAGCAAGCTGGAAGCTTGCACAGGTGAATGCCAGCAGCTGTGCCAACAGAAAAGGGCTACCTGGGGGCCACGTATGTTCAACATGGAGGGTCCATCGTCCCTTGTCTTTGTGTATACAGTAAAGAAACAGGTAATATGGTGCCAGCCAAGTAGAGGACCATCTGCACAATAAAAGATTAGGGTGGGGGGTGGCCAGATTTTCATGCACTATGCGAATGGTACACCTGATCTGACCAATCTTTCGTGCCCTGTGTAAATCAGACTCCGCCTCCTCAAGCTCATCTTTAAAACCTATTGCATTTTGCTGTGGACCGGAAAACCCACTCGGGAACCCTCTCTGCAGGAGAGAGTTCTTCTCTTTCTTGTGCCTATTAAACCTCCACTCTTAACCTCACTCCTTGTGTGTTCGCATCCTTGATTTCCTTGGCCTAAGACAACTAACCTTGGGTATTACCCCAGAGGAACGATGCCACTTCAACGGTATAGTATAATGGTTAAGATCATGAACTGCTATGTCATTTGGGGCAAGTTACTTAATCTCTCTGTGCTTCAGTTTTCTTGTCTAAAAACATAGATGATAATAGTGCTTACCTGTCTGAGATGTTGGGAGGATTAAATGCACAGACACATTTTAACACTTAGAATAGTGCCTCATACATGTTAAGAACCCAGTAGGTACAATCTCTTGTCTGATGTGTCAGTTCACAGATTAGAAAGTAGAAAGATCAAATTAAAAATAGATGGAAAATCTATGATTAGCAGATATTAATGGAAAAGTACGAGGCACAACACTTCATGAAAGAGTATGAAAACACCAGAAGCACAGCATTATGTCACCAGTGAGTACTTCTGCACAGAGCAAGGTGGCTGCTACTGTTTTACAGGACAATGAGATAACTGTCCAAAATGATTACTTGCTCCTGAGACATTAGATCATTAGCTTCCTGATGAAGCAGAGAAATATTTTACATAGTTCGGGAAGAGTCACCTCAAAATTTGTTAAGTTAAAAAGGTTTGGCTTCAGACATCTGGAAAATTAATTTGCATGGCAACTTCATTTAACATCATTACCAAATAATGTGGCACTATTTTCTCACATCTATCTTTGAAGAAATTGATATAAAACAGCCTTGGATCATGTTTAGCTGATTCCTTACCTATGTGCTCGGTACTTAGTACAAAAATGGACTTTTAGTGAATAATTAGCATGAATATATTAATATTTTAGTAATAATAATTATAATAGATTTCAGAATTAGAGGCAAACTGGCTGGGTGTGGGGGCTCATGCCTGTAATCCCAGCACGTTGGGAGGCCAAGGCGGGCAGATCACTTGAGGTTTAGAGTTTGAGACCAGTCTGGCCATCATGGTGAAACACTGTCTCTACTAAAAATACAAAAATTAGCTGGGCATGGTGGTGCATGCCTGAAATCCCAGCTACTCGGGAGGCTGAGACATGAGAATTGCTTGAACCCGGGAGGCAGAGGTTGCAGTGAGCTGAGATCGCCCCACTGGACTCCAGCCTGGGCAACAGAGGGAGACCTTGTCTCAAAAAAAAAAAAGATTTAGAGGTAAACCATTCAAGGATACAAAATTTCAGTTAGGAGGAATAAGTTCAAGAGGTTTACAATACAACGTGGTGACTATAGTTAATAACAATGTATTAGTTATTCAAAAAAGTAAGCCATTCAATAAATATATATGCCGATGATTCAACTCTGTGAAATGCTGTCAGTCAATTACTTGATTTTTACCCTTTCAATAGTCTCTGGGGCTTAAATTGTATCTATATTGGCTTAAGATCTCCTACCTCTTTAGACTAATTCATTTTAAGCTAAGAAACTGTGCCAGAAAAGTAATGTTTCCTTTTCAAATCTGTGAATAAAACAAGGCAGAGGTTGATAATTAAGTACAGTTTATCATGTTTCATATCTTGGCACTGTTTAAAGTCTATTTCAGTTTATCTTAAACAATCACATTTATTTTTAAAATGGTACAGTAAATTCTATCACCTAGGATGGCTGGGGAATGAGACCTATTAATACTGAACACTCTAGAATGGGAGGGGTCCTTGGAAGTCATGAATTCAACTTATTATCTTTTAAAAACATGGCAAAAAAGCACTTGTAGAGTGACATAGCAAAACTGGCATGGGAAGGACCTCCAAAGAATCTCTACTCATATAATCAATGAAAACACTGGTAAAAAACCTGTTAACCTCAATTTTTCTAGAATTCTGGAAATTAACCAAAGTCTTGCGGCAATCTGAGGAGCGTTTATTCACGAAAAGCTGCTGAATCTCTTAGGAACAGCAAGTGCTATGGAATTATCATTTGCCCTATTCCCATCCCTGCTCCCCTCAGCTGACTAGAAAGCCAAGAGCCTGCAATCCTGGTGAGAACTGGCAGCCTAGCCGCCACCAGAGGGCGCAGAATGGGGTTGCAGCTCCTTCAAGGCGCCTCTCCCGGAGGATTGCTACTGTATGGCTGGTCTGGCCTGGAAGACCCCACTCAGGAGGATGTCTTTATTTGACCTGAACTTGAAGCTCGACTAGGGAACAGCCTCCGGTCCCTCCCTCCCCAGGAGGTTACCAACGACAGTTAGAGGTAACTATTGATCTCTGAGGCTGCCTGAGGCAGTTGGTAACAGTTGTGCACATGGGGGCTTGACAAGCTCTGACATATTCGTGGAGATCTCGAAAGTTACACACATGAATAGGGCTGTGCTTAGGTTCAGGGGCTGTGCATAGTCCCAGGAAAGACCTGCAAAATCCTGAGATCTCTCCTCTGGCTGACCTTGAAGCTCTGTGCACCCTTGGTAAAGGCCGGGAGACTCACTGGTTCTAGGCATCTAAGGAAATCTCTGTTCATTCATTAACTGACCACTAAGCTAACTGAGTAGAAACTTCAATGACCACATGTGACAAAGAATACAGCCTTTACAGAATTAGTTTAGAAAATGCCATCGAACCGACAAATAAACACAGCAAACGCTGGAGAGGTGGAAAAGTCTGATTTTCAGAGCTGTCACATTATATTATTTAAAATGTCCTGTTCTCTTAAAGAAAAACAGTTATAAGACATGCAAAGAAACAAAGTATGACTCACAGGGGAATAAAAAAACAATGAATGAAATTGCAGTTCTAATGAGAGGGACTCCTCGCCTCACTAGACAGCCCTGTCCACACCGGAACAACACTAATTTTTAACAAGCACTCCCTTGTTGGAACCTGCCTTCTTTGTAAGGATGCACTGGTTCTAACTCTGCTCTCAACCCTTCCCTTTTCCATAAGGTAGACAGTCATAGCTGAAGAATCAATTATCCCTTTCTCTTTAATTATTCTCCTCTCTAGGCTAAATAGTCCTAGTTTTCAAGTTTTCCAAATATGTACACTTAATCATTCTGCTGATCCTTTTCTAGACTGTGTTGATTCTGTCAATGTTTCTTTGAAAATGACATTGATTTGTAACTTTAAAAAACTATAAAATGCAATGACATATTAAGACAATCAAGGTTATTGAAAATGACTTTGGATTCCAATGACAAAACAGCTTTTTCGGTTGCCCAGAAATGTAGACATGCAATTGTATTGACACATCACATAGTTGGGACTTGGTGTCCTTCCAGATCACTGGTCCCTTAAGATTATCTTCACACTCAGGTAGGCAAGTATGCTTTGTTCCAAGCAAAGGTCCTACCTAGTTAGACTCCTCCATTTATATAGCAAAATATCAGGTGATCATTTCCTCATTTTGTTTAAAAAGCATACAGGTAACTCCTCAAACAAGGCAGAACTTCAGTCCTCAAATTTGTCATCAGAATTCATTAAACTATATATTTTATGCTTCTCTATCAAGAGTATCTCCAAAAGAGGTGTCAACTACAAGTTGTCTAAAAGAAATGAAATCAGTTGACATCTCAGTACTGTATGTCCATCCGTCAAACCAGGTCACCAAAATATGCCAACTTGCAATATATTAACTTATGCCCTTGCATATTATTTTCCACCAAGGTGTATTTAATGACATGTATTGGAAAACACCATAAGAAACTGCTCTATAAAATTTGTGAAAAATGATATTGAAGATATTTTTTCTCGATAAAGTAGTAGATATAAAATCCCACTTGATAAAATATTTAGAATTTTGCTCCCTTTGAGGTTAGAATGTTTGCTCTCCTAACATTAGAATTATGGTGATGATTGTACCTCCTTTTCACCTGAGCTGTCAGAAAGCTGAGAGGCAAACAGGACACTCAACCACAGTAACTGTCTGTCTTCATGTTAAGCACCTCTGCTTACTCTTTCCTTTAACTTTGACTTTCCAATTCTGTTTATATTTTATTATTAATTTACTGTATTTTTGTTGTATGCTGCCCTATATCCTTTAATAAATTCAATTTTAAAAGATACAGAGTGTAATTATATAAGTAAAAGCACAAATTTCTCTATAGTACATGCAATTAAATGTTTCTTTGCTGACTCATTAGGCATGTAGAAACTTGCAGCAGACAGGCGTTGATATAATTAGTACATTTGTCCCCACCCAAGTCTCATGTTGAAATGTAATCCACAGTGTTGGAAGTAAGGCCTGGTGGGAGGTGTTTAGATCATGGGGGTAGTTTCCTCATGAATGGCCATCCTCTTGGTGATAACGGAGTTCTCCCAAGATCTGTTTCTTTAAAAGTGTGTAGCACCACCCCCCATCTCTCTCTCCGGTTCCTGCTTTGGCCATGTGATGTGCCTGCTGCCGCTTTGCTTTTTGCCATGTGTCAAAGCTCCTTGAGGCCTTCCCAGGGGCAGATACCATTATCACTTGCCTTTCCTGTACAGCCTGCAGAACTTATTTTCTTATAAATTACCCAGTCTCAAGTATTTATTTCTAGCAATGGAAGAATTGCCTAACACAGGTGTCATGCTGAATATCAGTGAATCATTTTCACAAGTACTTAAATTTAAGAACCAACTTTCCAAAGAATAGCTCTCTTCTTGAGAGGACAGTATTTTTCCAGATTTGTCTGTATAAGATGATTGACCTCCTCAGTCACTCTGTAAATTCTTCATTGAAATAGCTCCAGGGTTTTCTGTCTGTTCTGAATCACTCTTATTGAAGTAATTCAACCTGAACATAACCCTGAGCATATTTTGAGCCAGTCAAATAATTATGCATAAGGTTTACATTTTTCAGTGTAAACTTGTCTTGAAAAGTAAGACATTAAGTCTAGATAAAAAACATAGATGTGTTTATATGTATTTATTATACTATTTATAGATATCTAGCTGCATAAACAAACATTTCTGTAGAGTAAAAAGAGGAGGCAAATGATAAAATTCAAAACTGCATTTCATTTCATAAAGAGTATTTTATTCAGAATAGGAAAGAACTGAAGTGTACTTATTTGCTTTTCTCAAAATAAAACACTGAATTAATTTTACTTGAAAATGTTTTCTTCCTAAATAAAGCTAGGTTAGCCCCATGTTAATAACTTCAGATAATGCAAAGGTATGAATAAGACATGTTGGCTAACCTACTTTACTTGCTACAATATTAAAATTCTGGTCAACTATTAGCTGTAAATAATAACACTACCTTTATCAGAGAAAAATCACAAATCCCCTACATTTCCTGGAATCTATTTGAAGCCATGTCAGGATGCCTCATTTCACTTGAGGAAATTATACACTTGAAATTATTCTCTGATCTATCTCCAAAATGAGTTTCTAAAATTGGAAGAACACCCATGGCTTTTCAGTACTCAATATTCACAGGCCACATCAAAAAGTCGGGCAGCCTTTTAATGTGCTTATGAAGATAAAGTGTAAATAAAATCTAGGTGCCAATACATGCCAATATTAATATTTTTGTAAATAAACATAACTCTCATTTGAAATAGCTATATTGATTATCAGATGAAAATATACAGTCTTCAACCCTCTTTCTTCTAGAATTGAAGTAAATGACAGCAGTTAATGAGCTCACAAGATTTAAACAGGTTAGACCAAAAGTTCTCCACTGATAATCTTAAGCTCTGCAGGGAAATAATGCTTCCTTTAAAAAAAGCAGCAAGCAATAAAATTCACTACAAGACTTTCTGTTCTTTAGCTCTCTCTTAGGAGAACAGAAAGATAACTAAATCTGTGCATAGAAAATGCAGTAGAAAAAAGTCATCTTATTATTTCTTGATATACGAAAGGTCCTCATATCTCATTTAACCCTCGCAATATCCCTATTACATAGGTAGAATAACGAAATGTAAAAGACTGCATTTACTGATCATTTTTCATTTTTACCAAAAAAAATGTATTTACAAAGAGGCTAGAGTCAGAAAACCTGGAAGGCTTCTTGCTCACTAGTGAGGCCAGTTCCAGCAGCCTGAAGGAGCAGAGTTTATTCACAAACCCCTCCTGCAAATATTTTCTCTCTTGGGGGCCCATTTGGGCACCTTAAATTTGCATCTATAAGAAGTTAGAGGGTGTTAAAACAAGCAAAGTGAAAAACTGGACCAAGTCCCAAAAACTTTGACCTGAAAATCTACCTTCAGCAGCACAAACGCACATAACCAGAAAATACACACTTCACTGTCATTTCAAGCAAAACTAAGGACAATTTAGTTAGTCAAAAATCTAATCATAGATCAATAAATTTTCTACTTACTTCAGTAAATACCTTAAAAAATTGTTGTTATTGTTGTCATCGGCTACCACTGTGGTAAGTGGTATACTAACAGTTTCTCATGTCGTATCTCAATTTATCTTTGTATATTACAGTGATGTGGGTACTATTAATATCTTAGTAGAGATAAGGGAATTGGGATGTAGAAGAAAAAAATCTCTACACTCAGCTTGCTCTTTACCATGTAGTCACCATCTCAAAATTTTAGTATCTCTGCCCTTAAGTGTTGGCAGGTCACAGAGTTCTGTCCCTGGCTGCATACATTGCATCATTTCCTTGTGTGGTCTTATTTCCCTCCATACCTTCATTGCCTCATGTACACTGATGACACCCGTGTAAACTTAGTCCATCCACCCACTCACCCACCCAGTCTGTCCTCCACTTGATCCACAGTAATTAGTGTTTATATAAGAACATAGCTTCTGGCTGGGCACGGTAGCTCACGCCTGTAATCCCAGCACTTTGGGAGGCCGAGGCAGGCGGATCACGAGGTCAGGAGACAGAGACCATCCTGGCTAACATGGTGAAACCCCGTCTCTACTAAAAATACAAAAAAAATTAGCCAGGTGTGGTGGCAGGCGCCTGTAGTCCCAGCTGCTCAGGAGGCTGAGGCAGGAGAATGGCGTGAACCTGAGAGGCGGAGCTTGCAGTGAGCCGAGATGGCGCCCCTGCACTCCAGCCTGGGCGACAGAGCCAGATTTCATCTCAAAAAAAAGAATATAGCTTCCTAGCCTGACCACATTTCCCAGCCTCCCTTGCAGCTAAGCAAAGCCATGTGAGTTCCTGCCAATAAAATCTGAACAGTGGTGTTAAGTGTAGGCCTTCATGCATTGGGAGTTCTCTTTCTCATTCTCTTTCTCTCCATGACTGGAACTGGAGAAAAACAGGACCAACTTTGGAAGACAAGATATTTAAAAGGCAAAGTTGTCTCATCATTCTGGCCCCTGGATGAACTTGTGCAGCAGAGCTGCCTGGCAGCATAGACTAGGTCATTGGTCTATGAAAGAGAGATAAACTCCCAGCTTATCCAAGCCATTGTATTTTGAGTTAGCACTTTCTTTAATTAGTACACACACAAAATCCATATCTCTAGCTGAGTTCTGCCTCCGAAGCTCATATTGCCTCCTGGGTTTCTGCACATGGAATACCTGACAAGAACCTTAAATCCAGTATTTCCAAAATGGAACTACTCAACTCTAACCACTCCCTTCAGTAAATGGCTTCCTCACTGTCAGAGTCCAAATCAGAGTCAAGAATGCTTGCAACTTCCCTGTCGTTCACTCCCCACAGCCAATTTATAACCCAGTCCTGTTCATTCTGCCTCTGACATATCTTTCACATTCATTCCTTCCTCTCCATATTAAATGCCACAACCTGAATTCCAGCCCCTACCATCACATGATTTATCTGTTAGTTTCCTACCTTAATTTCCCTGCCTTAAGACCCAATCTTCAGCTTAATTTCCCCACCTCAACTCATTCTCTACAATGCCAATAGCATGATGTTTAAGCTTAAATCTAAAATTGTTATTTCGTAAGGTACTTTTTCAGGTCAAAATATTATCATGGCTTTCACATCCATAAATTTTAAGGGCAAAATTTGCAAGTCTCTACTAATAGAGTCCAAAAGGAAACATTGTTTGATTGAATAGACAGAATAGAGAACAGGAAACTCACAATTGAATGATGTCGAGAAACAGAGTGAAAGAAAAGAAGAATGCATTTGTATACCTGAAACAAAACTGGCAAAATAGTTCAAGTCCTGATTCGATCAAGCAAAGCCTGAAGATAAAAAGGGATCTTCCCCCCTACCAAGCCCAAATTGATCCTGCAGGGCTTTGAATGATAAAACAGATACCACCGCAAGTCACAGTCAACCAGATCTCATCAGCAGCTACTTGCAGAGGAGATAATGAAGTCAGTAGAGAGACAGGAGGGAGCATCTTTGACTTTATATAAAAGAACCCTGAGAATGGAAATTCTTGGGGATATTCCATCTAAATAACCACTGAACCTGCAAACTGCAAACTGCCTACCGTTGACTATCTGAGCAGGAGGGTTTACGGATGTTTATCTGAGAACAAAGTTTCATTATTAAAAAATCAGAATCCTATGACTACATTGTCCTAAACCGTCTTTTTATAGTAATGCCTCAAATTTGTGAATATGTTTCCCTTTTTATTTGGCAACTATTCGCAGACTTCAGTAAAAAATGCCCACATATTATCAGGACATACAGGAGTCTTCAGAATCCAATCCCTGCCTTCGGTATCCCTGTAAATGTGGCCCTTCTCACACCCTGTGCTCCAGCTGTGCTCTCTTGCTTCCAGCTCTAACTTTGCCCCATTATTTCTTGGCTGGGAATGCCCTTTTTCGACCCTGTGCCACCCTAATATTTTCTGCACGTGGCTTACAGCTACTTATTCTTTAAGATTAGAAGCCCAAAGAGTTACTACCACTACTATGTGTTCCCATTGGTTATCTCAATCATAAAGACAATAGCAATTAAGGATTGCCTGCTCTGTATCAACCTCCTTTTTTTGGTGCCCCACTTAAATATTTTCTAATTCCTACCTTTTCTTTTAGCCACTGATGTGGGGAATCTGTTCTATGCAGACTTGACCAACTTCTATGTTGGTGTAACTAGCCAGTACCTAGCTGGAGGTCTAAGCTATGACTTCTCACTCCCTGCCTTAGCCTTCTCTTTTAATACTTGCCCCTAATTTTTTGTTTCAAGTGTGGCAATTTACTTGGTCTGAAGTAGAATCCTACTAATAACCAGAGAGCTGGGTTGTCTGGGAAAAAAAATAGTTGACCTTATAACTAGGTGGAGCTTGCCAGAAGGCCAAGTCCACTCCCAACCATGGCCTTTTATTCCCACAACACTCTGTCAGATCTCCACTTACGGCTCAGGAGTGATGAGGAAACATTTATTTTTAATATATTTATTATATTAAATATTTATTATAATATTTAATTTATTTATATATAATTTAATTTATATATAATTTAATTACATAATTATTTTTATAATTATATATAATTATTTTTAATTAATTAATTATATATAATTAATTATATATAATTATATATAATTATATATATAATTAAATATAATTATTTATATAATTATATGTAATAATATAATTATATATAATTATATATATAATTAAATATAATTATTATATATACTTATATATAATTAAATATATAAAAATATATAATTAAATATATATAATTTAATTATATAATTATTATATTATATTAAATATTTATTATATTTCATTTATTTATATATATAATTTAATTTATACATATAATTTAATTAAATTATATATAATAAATATATTAAATATTTATTATATTTATTTTAATATATTAATTATATTAATATTTAATAATTTAATAATTAATATGATATATTACTATTAATTAAATATTAATAAATATTTAATATATTTATTATATTAAATATTTATTATAATAGAATGTTGTATATGAAAATTACAAAGCAAAAGTTATTTCTATCAGTCAAAACAAACAGACATACTGTATTGGCTCATCTTTCTAATTGGTCAAAGATGTTAGCAGGAAAGGAGTGTTAACAAAAAGTGTTGAGAACTAAAATATTGCCCAGAAAAAATAATATTGGTTATAAAACAAATATCATTTGCCAAGGACAGCAGAGTATAGAGGAGACAGGTGAGAGCAGTATTTCTAATCAGGATGAGGGCTCAGAGTGTGAATTCATGAACTCAAACATCATACAACACTCAACGGAGAGAATAAAACCCTCAAACAGCCCATCCCACATGGTTTACCACTGATACAGTTTCTCTCCATGACCAAACTCTGTTCAGGCTCCACTGAGTTCTTTTTCAACCGAACCTTGACGTTTGGACTTGGTGTTTGTCTCTGCATTGTCCAATTTTAGCAAGAATCTTGGTAAGCTGGTAAGAATGGTGAGATTCCCCATTCTTCATACTTGATCATCCTTGATATCTAACTGGCTTCTTCCTTATCCACCCATCGTCCAGCTGACGTCTGATCACCCTGGCCTGCCTTCAGTACGAATCTTGTTAGGTAAGGTTTGATAGAATCCCATCCCTCACCACTATGTTTCCTCTTAATGATTTTCCATCCTCTGACCCCCAACCTGTTCCTTGACTATAAATTCCCACTTGCCCGTGTTGTATTCTGAATTGAGCCTAATCTGTCTCCCCCACTGCAAGACCACACTGCAGTGGCCTTATTCCTATCCCAATAATCCCTGCTGAAATAAAGTTTTCCTTATCGTTTTTTTTTGTTTTTTTTTTTTGAGACAGAGTCTCACTCTGTTGCCCAGGCTGGAGTGCAGTGGCACAATCTAGGCTCACTGCAACCTTCACCGCCTAGGTTCACCTCCCAGGTTTAAGTGATTCTCCTTCACCTCCCAGGTTTAAGTGATTCTCCTGCCTCAGCCTCCCAAGTAGCTGGGACTACACACATGCACCACAGCGTCCAGCTAATTTTTGTATTTTTAGTAGAGTTAGGGCTTCATCATGTTGGGCTGGTCTAGAACTCCTGACCACAAGTGATCCACCCGCCCCAGCCTCCCAAAGTGTTGGGAATACAGGCGTGAATCACTGTAACCGGCTCCTTATCTTGTCTTTAACAAGTGTCATTAAATGATTTTTTTTTTCTTTAGCAACATGAGCTACCCTCACTTTTAACCTGTAGGAGCACCTCTACAAGTCTGTTTACCTTCTGTGAGCACTGGTAACCCATACACATTTGTCATCATGGGGTTCTTTTTCCTGTAAGCCAAGACTCGGAGAAAAACGTCACATCCCTTCAAAATCACACCCCCTGTTGTTCCCAATTTCCTCTATTTGTCAATGTTTTCTAGCATTGGGAGAAGAAATAAATAAACTTCTAAAGAGGCATAAATGGGTTTGTCAAAGTGGAAATTATTAAGAATATTTAAAACTGTAACCCAACACATGGAACACAGAAAGTCTGAGGGTCTAAAGGAAAAGTGTCCCAAAGGCACACAAGTGTGGAGGACATGTCTGTGTCCAGCCCTTACATAAATCTGTGGGAATACTACTTTTCTGAAGAAGCAGCCAATATATTTGAACAGTAGTCTTTCTTCTAACTACTAGACAAAGAAATGTGTCTCTGGAGGTATATTTTAGTTGACGTTCTGTCCCTCTTTGTTTTACATTTTGAGTCAGTCCATTTGAAGCAGGGCCTATTGTGAGCCTGTTTACTTCCATTTATTTTTCTTGAGGTAGCACACAGAGGAGTAAAATGGCATTTCAGCCTTTTTGAGGGGCTACTTATGCTAAGTTTCCTATCTGAGACAGTAAGTGCTGCAACTATTCTTTACAACTGTGTTTTCTTATTCTCTTACATATGGAACCCCAAGAAGAGTTGAGGAAAGCTATGGCTCTTATTTCCTGGAAAAAAAATGGATATAAAATATTGAAAACAATTTTTGCAGTATCATTTTTTCCTTGAAGTCCATCCAAGAAGAGCCCTGGTCCATGGGCAAGAGGTTGAGTGTCCCAGCTCTATAAAGACTTATTTTCTAACTGCTGTCTTTTATGTCTTTTATTTATGCTTCTCTTCTCCAGATCAAGTCAAGACACTGCACTTCAGTAACTGATATGATGAAAAACTCAGCAGGTGAGAGAAGACAAGAGATACCATAGGCTTGTGCTTTGCCAACTTAAACTCTGAGTCTGATATTTTGCCAAGGCCAAGTCTTACACCTCGCATTTAGAGTGTGGTTACACAGGTGATTCCAAAGAACAGGGGAGTGGGCTGTCAGTAATCACGGGCCCAGACCACCCAAGGGTGGGCCTTTATACTTGCAGTTTCCTCGGCCCAAAACACTGTTCCCCAGCATGGGTGCTTACTTTTTGTCAACTGGTCTCAGTTCACATATCACCTCCTAAGAGGGCCTATTCCTAACAATCTATCTTAAGTAACTCCCTCACCAACAAAGCTCCAGCACATTACCCTGTTCAGAGTCTTCAAAGTGCTTACCACCACCTGAAATTATTTTCTATTGCTGTTTTTTTTTCTTGTTAAACGTATGTATCCGTAACTAGAATATAAATTACATAGGAGAAGAGATTTTTGTCTGCAACACTCTCTACTATATCCCTAGCATTTAGAAGAGCAAATGGAACCCAGTAGGCAATCACAAAATATTCTGAATGAATATTGGTTATCGTATCATCATTTTGAATGAGTGAATGTGATAGATCCAAACTGAGGGTCAGAGGTATTTTCATTATAGATTTTTAAACCTATACTTTAATACAAGTTTGTAGCTTATTATGGATATTTGAAGAGCTGTGTGCCAAACCTAACAAGGCTCCTGAATGTTTCTAAATGTGCAATTGTCGCTATATTTCTGCTGTCATTTTTCACAGGTTTCCAAATGCGTCATAAAATATTATTGGGTCAGGGACCATGCAGGCTACCAGATGGTTGAGAATGATTTATTTCCTTGACTTCAGACTACTGAAGAATGATTGCAGGAAAAAAGCCAGTTTTTATCTCTGAGCTTACAGAATATGAAAGATAAGAGAGACCTTGCGGTTCATCTAGTCTGGATTCATTCTTAATTTAAAAACCCATTCTACACTACCAATGACATGGTTATCTGACCTTGACTTCAATATTTTTAGTGATGAGACACTCATTATTTTACAAGATAACCTGTCTCACAATTGGATGGATTTTGATGAGCAAGGTCTTCCTTCTATTGATTCAAAATTTCCTTCCTGTAACTTCTGGCCCTTGGAGCAACAACGTGTAAGTCTAGTTCCTGTTCTGAATTATGAACTTTGAAATATTTGAACACATCTCAACTATCTCCCTTCAGTGCTCTCAACTTCTGAATAAACATCCCAAATACCTCCAGCTGTTCCTCACTTATTTCTCCTTTTGGAACCCTCATCTTCCTACTGAATGATCTCTGGACACACCGTAATTAGGAAACATATGTTCTCCAGGGCAAAGTAGAATTATGTCTTATTTTTAATTATGGATTTAATTGTACTTATGCCATAAAACTACTAAATGATCCTCTTTTGTAAATCAACTATACATATAATTGCATACTGTATAATTACCAATATCAGCATATGTTATTAGTTGTAAAATGCAAAAGCAGGTTACTCTGATATAATAAGCCCCCATCTTAGCTGGAAGTCTGTGTCTAAAGAACATCTCATGGCTGACAATGCCAGCTTGCTATTAAAATTCTTCAGATAAAAATATGAACAAATTTCAAAATAATCTGGGCTATCAACTTGCACATGCACAATAGTATGGCTTGTTTCAATTTCAAAATTCATGGAGCAAGCAATTATAGATATCCTAAAAGTAAAGCATCCCTTTATAAAGTAGTATTATTAGTGAAAACAATCTAAGAAAAGCAGTGAGGATGAATTGCAGTTTTACAACAATAAAATTATATTAAATGTTTAATGTGGAACAGTCTTCAGCTAAATAAAGCAAAACTGAAGAGAATTAGTCCATATTCAGACTTTATGGGAAGATCCGGTAAGTTGATCTCATGATCAATAGTAGTTATAATCATATCATCAGTATTAATCACTAAAGCAGATACAAATTATACCATAATGTTGTGGCCCAATAATTGTCCATATTGACTCGCTACCAGTAAAAACTAACAAATGGACAATTCACACTAGGAAATTTGGTAGGTTTCAATTTACACATCTATACTTCTAACTATACTGTAGCCATCTGTTCTTTTAATGTCTAATAGTAAGTTATAGTATATTTGAATATCCATAATATGTTTATATGTAATACTACCTCAGAAATATTAGTACTGTTTTCCGTTTTATGGAATAAGCAGGAGTTTGCCGCATTTATTAGTTGATGATTCCTACTACAGACACTAGCCAATATTCAGCTTTCACCCAAAACAAAAGAACTAGGTTCAGTGCCATAATCACTGAAGAACCTACAGACACTAACCTACAACAACTTTCTGTTCAATAAACTATATTTTGTATATTCCTTTTCATTCAAAGCCAAATGTTTCTAAACAAAGTATGTATAAAACAATAACATCCAAACATAATGCTTCTCAGCAGTGTGAGCATGACAAAAAGTATTCTGATCATCTTTTAAAATAAAAAGCCTGAATTATTCAACTGTTTGAATAATTCTTGTGATTGGTTGGATTATGTCCTCCCAAAATTCGTATGTTAAAGAGCTTAGTACCTCAGAATGTGATCTTATTGGAACATAGGATTGTTGCAGATGTAACTAAGATGAGGTCCGACTGGAGGACAGTGGGCCCCTTGTCCAATATGACTGTTGTTCTTATAAAATGGGAAAATTTGGAGACACACAGACAAGGAAAACACCATGTGAAGATGAAACAGATCAGGGTGATTTTTCTAAAAGACGAGGAACCAGGAAAATTGTCAGCACACCACCAGAAGCTAGGGGAGAAGCATGAAATAGATTTCTCCTCATGGCCCTCAGAAGGAATCAACCCTGCTGACACCTTAATCTTGGAGTTAGCCTCCAGAACACTGTGACAATAAATTTACGTTGTCAGAGCCACTCAGTTTGTGGGACTTTGTTATGGCAGCTCTAGGAAATTATAACAATTTTTAAACTCCTAAAAAATACTTGGCACTCTCCTTTGGGGCATGCCTTCAGAGCCCAAAGCACTTTATTTTGGATATCCTTAAATGGTGACATATTCTTGTCTTCTGAGATATGAGTAACAGCCCAGAGTTACTCATATCTATGAATATAATGGATCACTTGTATAGGTAGTACAGCATTCTTTTAATTAATTACAACATCCAAATTAATTAATTTACAATATAAATTGACTGCCCATCTCAACAACTGCCTTTGGCAGAGAGTCTAAAAGATGTTTTGAATGGTAGTATTCTTAGGAATAAAAAGCATAACCTCCTAAGATAACCACCTTGAAATATATCAAAATGCAGGTGTTATAAATCCTGTTGCTTTGTTTTAAATTTTCATTCTTTATAGCCCTACTATATATACATGAGTTATATTATGAATAGTGTGAGCAGTGCCTTGTGATACCAGGTACTTGACAAGAGGTGTATGTGGGGAATGATCCCAACCCCTTAGCCTAAGCAGTTTCCTTTCTATCTGATTCACATTTTACATTTCCATTCTAGATAAAGACTGCCTAACAAAACTTTATGTGATGATAGAAATGTCTTACATCTGCATTGTCCAGGACAGGGGCCACTAGTCACAAGTGGCAGTTGAGCACTTGAGATGTAGCTAGTGCAACAGAGGAACAGATATTTTAATTTTAATTAATTTTAATTCAAATGGCCACACGTAGCTATTTGGCTGCTGTAGAGGACAGTGCAGTCTTAGATTTTAATCTGAAAATAGAATTTTACTGCTAACAAAGTCTGAAAATAATCAGTAAAAATGAATGAATAGGAAAACTTCTGCTAAAATGGAGTAATTGATTATTCTGATCAATTCTCCCAGAAAACACAAGTATGTAAATTTCCTGGCCACATGAGGATTGACTTTACCGCCACTGAGCATAAAACTTAATCAGTGAACTAAAACTGACATCACTAATCATTAGCCAGCAGGGGGAGCTGGAGAGTAGCATGGTAGCATTTTCTTTGGAGAGGTTCTTTTTTTTCCCCTTCTATGTGTTGGTGGTCTATGTGGAGGCTCTTAAAATACGTATTCTGTCCAGGAACTCCAAACCCTCTGCTTCTTGCACATCCAGTGTTAGCTACATACTCTGCCTGTGTCTGTTTCAAAGGATCCCCAAGCAGTAGGAACTTGATTCAAAACAAAACAGTTCAAAATCCAATTAATTACAAAACCTGGTCTTTCCCACTTCCCTTTATTAAAATGTGATTAATGTTTAGATTTTTATATTGTTTTTTAGCTTTCTTCTGCTTCTCCCCATATTAGAGAAAAATTTTAAGGCCTTTTACATTTAGACAGAGAAGGAAAATTTCATTGGCATATTGTTGATTCTTTAAAGTTATTCCTAAGAAAACATTTATCCATAATAAATTAACCATATATGGCCTCACCTCTTGATAAAGGTCACTGAGATCTTCCTGGTGGGCCTGTTTGGAACATCCTGGGAATTCTCTAACACAGCAGGAATCTGGGGGCCAGTCCATCTCTGTCATTTCCAACCAGTCAGTGAAATATACTACTCCACAGCACTTAAACTGCAAAAAAAATCACTAGTCAGCCTCAGAAACCACAAAAATATTTTCTTAACTTATAGGAGATTAAACATCAGTTTTTTAAAATTTTTGTACCCAGAGCTATATCTGTCATCACCTAATGATATATGTACAGTCTATGTTGATGATAGAAATGTAGTAAAGGAACACCATGGCTAACGATTGCATAATGGAAGTATTCTGAGTAATAATGCCCATAACACATAAAAACAAATCAGGCATGACTGAGACTCACTCCCTAACTGTAAGCTCATCTACAAGTGACTATACATAGCAACAGATTGAACATACACACTAACAAACCCAAGTAGGTGACACTTTAATCATTAAACCTCTAACCACCAAAGGCCAGTTAATCAAATTTTTCTATTGCCCAACATATTCAAATATTATATTAAAAGTTTCTGTAATCTTTGTAAAAACATGTGTTGACCAAAGCCCACATCACAAAAAGTTAGCAGACATCGATTCCTTAGCTAGTAAAATATCCAAAAACTTTAAGAAATAAACATAGGTCTGGCCAACTGGTGTTTATTCAACTGAGTAAGATTCTTGAAATAAATGTTCATATTCTATTACCATAATCTCAGAAGAAATGGTGTGTGTGCCTTTAGCTTGAATAAAATTGGATTTAAGAAAAACTATACTGACATTTTTACTTTTTTATCTTATTTCTCCAAAGATTAGCAAAAACTGTCTCTGATCAAGGTTTGGAAACACTGCTTAAGGACCTCTATAGATTAGATTCAGAACAATTAACTATGATGAATAATTTTCTGTCCTTGAGTGGAGAAGGAGGTTGCTCTTTCCCCTCTAGCCAGAAACAAGGACTATGGGCAGTCACTGAGAACTTTGCCAAGAGTGACTGGCTATGCAAATTATGCAGTCCAACAGATCAATCTATGTCCAGGTTTGACATTGCATCATAAAATATCACAATCCCCCACCATTTCAAAATTTAACTAAAATTAACTTTGAAGAATTCCGAACTTCTCATGCAAAAGGAAACAATGAAAATACCACAAAGTATTTTGCGTTGTTACACTGGCCTAAATGTCTGATTTTTAAACAGAAAAAAAAATCATCTTAAGAGTATTATAAATGACGAATTACTGAAAGCTATGGGTAATACTGAAATTTTGAGAAACTTAAAAAATACTTTATATATATTTTTCCTTTTTAAACTTGCTCTCAAAGTCATGAGTATACTATAAACATCACAAATTTAGTCAATAATTTGATGTCACATATTTTACATAAGACATTAAATATCCTTAAATAATATATGTAGTATAAAGACTTCACTTCATAAAAATCATAAACAAGGAAAGGTTAACTTTCCAAGTCCATCTTTTTAAATTCTTGCACTCAAAGAAAATCCATTTGTCTCCTTTGCTAATGACATGAGTCCTTTCTGTGTTGATGACAGAACAGTTCTTGGAACTCTCTAGCTCCATCCAGCAAGGAACAGCCTATTTATATGGCTTTGTCAGGAAATAAGATATTCTACATAAATGACTTTCTCAAATATAAGTATATAATGTTCTTTCTCATTATAAGTATACGATGCTCAGTGCTGAACTTACTTTTATTTTAGAAAGCATTTGTATATAATTGTCCTTCTTCAACAGAAGATAATGAATTTATTCTGAAACTTTTTCTGAAAACTCCTTTAAGTAAGCCCAACATCATACCAACATATTACTGTGGTCTACATCTCCTTGTCATTTTCCTGTCTACTTTAATATCATATTGTGAGATAGTACTACTCTTGCTAATGTGTCAAGCTCTAGAAAATACCATCCATTTTACATATGAGTAAACTGAGGCCTTTGACAGTCAAGTAGCTTGCTAAAGTTACAGGCCAGAGTGTGGCACAGTCTATTCCAAAGCCTATGCTCCAACTACTATGTTAAAATAAATAAATAAACACATTTTTTAAAGTTAGTATTCTAAAAACGTATTAAACAAACGTCACTGGGGCTTAAGTGAGAGTCCGCTAAGTTGCGGTATGTGCATAGAATTGCACTGAATGAGGAGCAAAGGAGACTGGCACCTGATAAAGTTGCTTTCTGCAATACAGGTTATTCTAGAATTGGGTCCCCCACCCAAATGCATATGTTGAAATTCTACCTCCCAGTACCTTAGAATGTGACTGTATTTGGAGATAGAGTTTATAGAGATTGTTGAGTTAAAATAAGGTCATTAGGGTGGGCCCTAATCCAGTATGACTGATGTACTTATTAGGAGAGGGTATTTAAATATATATATATATTTAATATATATATGGAAGACATAGTGAAGACACAGGGAGAAGATGGCCATCCGCAAGCAGTCATTGCAAACTAATATAAGGGATATAAGGGATTTTAAAAACCTCAGGTTCTCAGAAGTCTTCACCATCTCCATTTACATAAAATAGTCTTATGATAATGGAGGAGGAAACTTACCATGTAACAAATCTAAAAATAAGTGTGCTATCATTTGCAGTACTTGTACATTGTCCATCTAGGTGCAGCTTCCATCAGAAAAAAACTCACTTTGTTTTTTAACCTGGATTATCACTGTCTACATCACAAATTCCAGAAAATAACGAGCTCTGGGCAGCATCTACTCAGGACAGTAGCTGACATAACTTACTATAAATTTCCTAATGCTTATTTTCTCTTTGTGTTGTTTTTAGCACAAATATACAATAAATAAACAAAGTTAGGAAGCACTTAAATAAACAGGAAATCTGTGTTACAATGATAATTTTTACCATCTCAACAGTTGTACACAGCCAGATTTGGAGATTGTCCTGGACTTGAACCTCTGCCCATATCCAGGACAAAGTAAGTGAGCAGAGATCTTGCTATCTATCACGTAAGACACTAATTCTCAAATGCTTTGCGGCCTAGCACTAAGATAAATTAAAGGAAACTGAAATACTTATCCATCTGGGAATGTCACTTCAATCACAAGGAAACTGCTTGGAAGAAGAGCTTGGTTTGAAGCAAGATCAATGGTTAACTCCAAGTCACCAAATTTTAAACATCTGAATACAGTCCCCACTTGAGAAGATGGTTGGGTGCAGTGCTACATGGCGGTTAGGTAAGAAATGCTAAACGCACCTATACTTTGTAATGTTATTGTTAATAACCATAGGCTAAATGAAATCGCATCATTTAATCTTCTTAACAACCTGAAGAGAGAGGTATTTTTATTATCACTATTTTAAAGGTGAGAAAACCAGGACTTAAGGGAGTTATGTAAATTATAGAAGCTCACTTAATAGCAAGCAGCACAGCTATGATTTTAACCAAGGTCTTTCTGAACAGATCATGCCATTAATGATATACTGACTTCAAAGTCCCAAATGAGAACAATCATTTTTTTTAAAACTAAAATTATGTTTAAAATATTGAGAGCTCTAAAAGTCATGAAAAAATCTATTTGTCTGGAACTTGGATATTTATCAAGTTAACTCTCATAAAAAGAAAACTTCACAATAATTTAGCAAAATGGCTTTTCAGATGTTCTTAAATATATGTGAACCATGTGAAATAAAGGGGAAATGGTATACATGGGAAGAAAAGCAGGCCATGAAGTTACCTAAGATATTTTTCAAGAAATAATTGCACCAGAGGTTACTGAATCACAGGCTTAATTTTTCAGCACAGAGGAAATTACCAAAGCTAAAGCTTTAAACATCTGGTTTGAAGGTGCACCACTTACTTCACTCTCTCTACCTCAGAAATTGTAGCACTTACCTCTCTCTGAAAAAAATTCCAAGCATGAGTAAGCCACCGATATCTAGGTAATCCATAATTTGTCATCCTGGCTTTCAAAGTGACCATATCTGACCATTGTACTGGAACCTGGTGATAAAAAGCAAAATATCAACAGCTGTAGCTCACACACAGACACAGATTCACACACACACACACACACACACACACACACGTACACACGCATACTCGGAATGTCTTCTAATTGACAAATACTATTTTAAATTTATATTTGCTCATGGCCTAAATTTAGCTCAGAGTATTCAATGTAGTTATTGGACAATCTCAATGTATAGATTTTTGTGATAAATGAAGAGGTATTTTGTACTAAGGAAAAAAATGAGAAATCACTTTAATGCTCAAGGAAATCACCAACAAGTAATTAACTGTACATCCCACAGACATACTGAAGACTTTCACATAACAAATAACCTCTGCAGAGAAATGTCCTTCATTTGATTTCAAAATGCTATGAAGTTGTTGCTCTTTGAAGCAACTGCAGATAATAGTACTAAAACAAAGAGGAAAGAATTAAGAAGGGAAAGAATTTGGCTCAACTCAAGCCTCACTCTGGGATAATTTTATCAACACTTTTTCAAAAGTTGTAATTAAGAGGTATGTTAGAATTTTAGAAAGAACAGTTCTCCACTTTTACACTGTTGGTGGGAATGTAAACTAGCACAACCACTATGGAAAACAGTGTGGAGATTCCTTAAAGAACTAAAAGTGGATCTACCATTTGATCCAGCAATCCCACTACTAGTTATCTACCCAGAGGAAAAGAAGTCATTATATGAAAAAGATACTTGCACACTCATGTTTATAGCAGCACATTTCGCAATTGTAAAAATGTGGAACCAGCCCAAGCCCATCAATCAATGAGTGGATAAAGAAAATGTATATATCAGCTGGGCATGGTGGCTCACACCTGTAATCCCAGCACTTTGGGAGGCCAAGACGGGCGGATCACGAGGTCAGGAGATCGAGACCATCCTGGCTAACACAGTGAAACCCCGTCTCTACTAAAAATACAAAAAAAAATTAGCCGGTGTAGTGGCGGGTGCCTGTAGTCCCAGCTACTTGGGAGGCTGAGGCAGGAGAATGGTGTGAACCCGGAGGGCGAAGGTTGCAGTGAGCCGAGATCACGCCACTGCACTCCAGCCTGGGTGACAGAGCGAGACTCGGTCTCAAAAAAAAAAAAAAGAAAAGAAAATATATATACCATGGAATACTATTCAGCCATAAAAAGGAAAAAATAATGGCATTCACAGCAACCTGGATGGAATTGCAGACCAATATTCTAAGTGAAGTAACTCAGGAATGGAAAACTAAGCATCGTATTTTCTCACTCGTATGTGGGAGCTAAGCTATAAGACACAAAGCCATAAGAATAATACAATGGACTTTGGGGACTCGGGAGGAAGGATGGGAGGGGGACGAGGGATAAAAGACTACACATTGGGTACAGTGTACACTGCTCAGGTGATGGATGCACGAAAATCTCAGAAATCACCACTAAAGAACTTATTAATGTAATCAACTACCACCTGTTCCCCAAAAACCTATTGAAATAAAAAAATTAAAAATAATTTAAAAAGAAAGAACAGTTTTTAAAGTAAAGCATTTTTGTGCTTCTATTCTCCAATCACCTAGCACCATGTCTATTACAGAGTATTTAATCATGACAGAGCTTTAGGTATACAGTACCACAGTCATTGTTGTAATACAATACAATACAACAGTCATTACTGGCCAGAAATCTGGTCAGTATATCAAGCTATGATTTTACTGCAGGGCCATGAGAAATTGAGGTATACAAATGCAAATCTCATTACACACACAGTATTAAGGCAACTCTGGGAAACTGGATGGACATTCCCATCTGATCTATGAAGTAATATAGACTGGGCTTAGTAAAGCAAGCTTGACATTCAACAAATAACACAAAGATAGAGAACCAAAAAGGAAAAAAGGGAGACATGAGCAAATAAGGCTCCAACAGAACTAGAGATTAGGATTATTATGAAATCTTATTTTTTAAGATAGTCATATCGATAGAAGCAGTTTCAAAATTCCTGACCACAGAAAATCTTCGTTTTTTTCTTTGTTAACTTTTTTTTTGATTACTTGGAAATACACAATAAAACATCCAAACACTTGGGCACACATTTTTTTCCCCCAAATAATGGGCTAAACGGGTGTACTTTGTGTTCATATGCCTTCAACAAGGTTCAGGGAACTAGTCAAAGTTCAAGCTACTCACCATAAATTAATATTATCTCATAACCTTTTGGGCATAAAATAAATGGAAGTGAAATAAATTATCTAGAAATGTACAATCTGAAACTCTTATCACTGACAGATTTTATCTAGAGAAGGAATAATGAATAGAAGATGAGCAGTACAAAAAAAACCAGAAATAATGAGAAAACACATTATCTGATGTCAAGTTACTTGATTTAGTTAATATATCAATTTTTTTAAACTTTACCTTCTAAAATAAATACAGGTTGTTTCCTTATTGTGACCACTATCAATCTGAGACCAAATGTGGAAGAAAACAGAGGAGACCATTGAGGTTCTGGCACAAATACTGAGGTCTGGTCATAAAGTAACACACAGGTTGATTGGTTCCTTGCATGGAACAGCTAAAAGCACAAAGCCCATTCTATGTAAAGGCTGGGTTCTGCAAAATTTGGCAGATAATAAACTTTAATGGTACTTTTCATTCACACTGCTATTAGTGCAAAAGCAATAAAAAACCTGACAAACTTTTTTTAAAGAACTGCTTTTACACTTCACTTTTAAACAGCCCTTGCTCCATCCTGGTGATGTAATGGGAAAGATTTATGAAAGCAAAACAGTGATGTGTGCCCTCAACTGGAATGGCAGTGGGCACCTATTTAGCACTGCAGGACTCAGGAGCTATTTGCAGATGGCCTCTTAACAGAATAGAAGAAAGTGTCTAAACAAGAATACATTCATTTCAATTTCCTCATATTTCTTAGAATTACTTTAAAATCAAAACATTTCATTTCAAACATGTTAAGTTAATTCATTTTGAACTTGCTGTATCTTAGAAGATTTACCAAATATTGGTATGGCATATATACTCTAATGCCCATGTTTAAAATCCACAAGAAAGTAAACAAATTGCTAAAACCCTTTTAATTACCAAACAGCAGACAATAAAAAGCTGAGGTAACAGGATCCAGAACTAATGATAAGATGTACTCTCTATGGCTTAAATGTCAAGGAGACACATTTATCATTTGAAAACAGAAAAAAATAAGAGAGACAATCTCTTGACCAGTAAACCACAGAAACCGATTCCCTGGAGTCAAGTACTTTATCACTCCCCTAATAAAGTTACCAGAGACAGGGAGAAAATATGATTTTCAAAGACAGCAAACAAATTCCTATATTAATGGGAGATTTCATGTTGTTAAAAGCTCTTAACTTTGTATTAAACTAGTTAGAATCTGAGCTAACTTTTCACCTTTTCAGGAACTCTCTCTACTTACTTAGTGCCGTTGTACATTGGAAGCATGAGTGTCTTCACAGAGATACATATGTGTGAGTGTGCCAAAGCACCACTGACATGTAAATTGGAGTGTGCAGAGTAGCCACTAGTCTGTGGTTACTACTTAGTATTCAAAACAGTCTCGAAGCACAATAGTAGATTCACCAAAGAATCTTTGAAGACTACATCAGCACCAGAAATGACTTCTATTTTACTGTTCAATTGCCAAATGACTCTCTTCGCTCTGAAACAAAGACAATATAATCTTTCTCTCTTCTGGAGACTTACTACACTTTAAAATGTTGAAGATGCACCAGGGAACTTGTCACAGATGCAAATGCCCAGTCCTTGCCCGTTCCTCCCTGCCTTCCCCTCCATTCTGATTGAGCACATCTGGGCTGGAGCCCAATAACGCATATTTTTAAGAATCATCCTGGGTGGCTCCTACTGCAGATGGCCCAAGAACTACATATGGAAAATCACCATTTTACTAAAACAGAATTACTCTACAAAGTTTGTGGGGAAAAAGTCTGGCCTCCCTCCATGAAAACAACCAGCATTCACAGACATGCAAAAGTGTTCGACATCACATCACTAGCAGTAAATGCACTAATTTCCCTCAATGAAGTAAGCAAATGTTAATAAGTAATAATACCCAGTGAGTGCAAGGGTGAAGTGCAAGTGGTAAGCCAAACATGACTAGTAAAAATCTTAAGACTGAGAAATGTTATGCTCGTTTATGCTAGCTATAAAAGTTGTCCCAACCATTTCAACTGCTGAAATAAAAGATAAAAAAATGATGAATAGCTATTTTCAAGTAGCCAAGTGTGGAACTGTGAGAGTGTTTCTAGATCGTGCCAAACACACAGCAACTCTTCAAATACACCTCTTACTTAAGGTGGAAAATGATTCTGCCTGTCGCAAACAGGAGATGTAGGCTTCCTAGTCATCTGTTCACTATTGCAGTCAGCATT
The DNA here is from genome assembly GCF_000001405.40 of Homo sapiens. NCBI lineage: Eukaryota > Metazoa > Chordata > Mammalia > Primates > Hominidae > Homo > Homo sapiens. The sequence goes on from NC_000007.14 coordinate 120,814,978, forward strand.
TTATAAGACTTTATGTAGGTGTTCAAGAATTTTCAAACCAATCATTTGTGAATGTGAATCTTTTCTATTATTAACTTCAAAATTGGTAAAATTATTTTAGAACATATACTATATTTAGTCTATGATACCCATGTTTAAGCAGCCTGTGGAATTAAAGACATATACAGAGTATACCAAATAAAATTTTACAAATTATGGTTTGGAAATGTGCTTTAGACACAGAAAAGAAAATGCTAGTTTTCAGAAGTATTGGGATTATTAACTGTTATCATGTAGCATAAACATTCAAATTAATAATCATGTACCTAAATTACTCTAAAGTATTGATATGGTTAGGCTTTGTGTCCCCACCCAAATCTCATCTTGAGTCGTAATCCCCCTATCCCCACATATCAAGGGACAGACTAGGTGGAGGTAATTGAATCATGGGGCAGTTTCCCTCACGCTGTTCTTTTGATAGTGGGTGAGTTCCCAAGAGATCTGATGGTTTTATAAGGGGCTCTTCCCCCTTCGATCAACACTTCTCCTTCCTCCCACCATGTGAAGAAGGTGTCTTGCTTCCTCTTCACCTTCTGCCATGATTGTAAGTTTCCTGAGGCCTCCCCAGCCATGCTGAACTGTGAGTTAATTTACAAATTACCCAGTCTTGGGCAGTTCTTTCATAGCGGAGTGAAAATGAACTAACACAAGTATCTAATTTAAAAGGCTGAACTGTTGTTTTAGATTGTGATTATATCTATTTTGAACTCACCATAAGTTCCTGTTCATATGTCCAAACGCCACAAGCCAGTTCTACACAGAAAATGACAAGCAAACTTCCAAAGTACTGTAGAAAAACAGAAAAGTATGCTGTTATAGTATCAGAATAAAATAGGCTCCTCAAAGACAGACTTGGTATTATGTTTACCTAGTGACCAAGAAAACAGAGGCAAGTTTTCATGAAGCCCCTCAGAAGCAGATGGGGAAATTATCAGCAAATTTAGAAATATCTGCAGATAACATTTAATATTCATCTCAGTGAGCCCTAATTTATTAGCCGTCTCCTGAGAAAAATCTTTTATAAATGCCACTAGTTTCATTAGGATAAATAAGAATTTACATGTTCTAGTTTGATAAACTTTAATCAAGTTCTCCAAGAAAGGGGACCTAATTCCTTTCAAAGTGGACGAGGTGAAGTCAACAAGTTCAATGCTCTGCACCATGAGCAGATTTTAACTCATTCTTCTAGGCAATGGGGGTTGGGGGGTTTCCTTTGCATTCTTGGAAAAAGCACAACATAGAACAAAATCTCAACTACTGTTGACACTTTCTATAGTAAGTTTCTATTATGGGGAAGGCACTTGGGATATATAAAAGAATATCAAAATTCTGATAAGGCATGCGCAGGCAAAAAAAAACACAAAGTTGAATATGGTGTCAAAAACAGAAATGGAGATAAAAATTCAAGATTCCTATGAAATAGAGAAATATGCAGTGTTCCAAAAGGTGAAGAGGATTGGAACAAAGAAGAGAAGAGAGAATACCAGGCAAATAAAAGCCATGAACAAGTGTGCAGAGTCAGCTGCAAAGTCAAGCAAAGAATCGGGGAACAGGAAACAGATCCATCTAGCTGGAGTGGGGTGGTCAGAAAGAGGAATGAGAAGAGATCAAAGGTGAAAGATGCACTGAAGCCAGATTATGGTGAACTTTAAATAATACACTAGTGAATTTTAAATCCATCATGTAGGCATTAAGGTAGCATCTTTCAAAGGTTCTGAATAGGGGAATGACATTATAAACTGATAAAATAAAGGCAAAGTTCTCAATGATTTGGAAAAAGGAAGGCTGAGGGGGATGGTGAAGATGCCTTAGAAGGCAGCACAAGAGGAGGCATGAAGCGAGCAGCTGAACTTAGATGGTAGCCTTGAAAATAGGCAGAAAAGAATCATTTTAAAAGGCACAGGAAAAGAAAATTGACAAGGCATTAGACTCATTGAATTTAGAATGGAGGAGAATGATGTATTTCACCAAAGCAGATAAATTGTCAGGGGTAAACAGCTCTGTGGGAAGATAAAAAATCTAATTTTATTTGATTAACATAAAAATGTTTATCTAAGTATCAGAAATGTAGATTTGGCTAAGCGTGGTGGCTCAGGCCTGTAATCTCAACGTTTGGGTTTTGGGAGGTGGGAGGGTCACTTGAGTCCAGGAATTCGAGACCAGCCTGGAAAATATAATGAGACCCCATATCTACAAAAAGAAAAAAAGAAGAAGAAAAGAAAATTAGCCAGGCATGGTGGTATGTGTTTGTAATCCTAACACTTTGGGAGGCTGAGGTGGGAGGATCACTTGAGCCCAGGAGATTGAGGCTGTAGTGAGCAATGATCATGTCACAGCACTTCAGCCTCGGGGACAGAGAGAGAACCTGTCTCAAAAAAAAAGTGTAGATTATTTGAAGCCCACATAGCCGAGGGTGGAATTGAAAACCATTATTATGATTAGAAAAAAACAGCAACTTTTGGATAGTGCTGTTTATCAAGTACTTTCACAATTAATTCACTCAAGAATCCTGTGAAACAGATAAGGCTACCTCATTTTACAAACAAGAAAATTAACACAAACAGCAGATAATGTGACTTCCACAAGAATGTGCATAATGAATTTGAGAGGACTGGATCACTGTAGCTGTGTTCCTGTGTCATACCTTGCCCAGTTGTGGTGGTAATTTTACAGAGGCAAGCAGCAAAAATATGAGAAAGAACGAGCTCTCTGAAAATCATCCTACTAATTTTAGCAGGAATAAAACTTCTTTGCAATTATGAATATTCCATTCTATTTACAGTGGGAGGTCAGGGTGGGAGTACCAGGTAGTGACGATTTGTGAATATCCTCCTTCACTGGACTGAAAGCTCCACTAAGGGCAGGTACATTCTTGCATTCCTCATCACATAATAGGTGTTCAACGAGTATTTGTTAAGTAAAAGAATAAATGCAAACAAAGCAGAAAGGTATGATAGTGAGTAGGACTGGGAGCTACCTTGGACTGGGTGATCAGGGAAGGTCTTTTGATAAAGGTGATCTTTAAAATGAGTCAGCACAGACAAGAAAGAAGCAATGCTGTTAAGACTTCAGAAAAAAGCAATCCAGGAAGAGGAAATACCAAGTGTGATGTGGCCTTACATGGTGAGCTAGCTAGTTAAAAACTCAATGGTAACTGGCACACAGAAAGAGTGGGATGGGGTACAGGGTATGCAAGTAGACGTTATGATGTGCCAAGAAACAGATCATACTGAGCCATGGAAAGGATTTTGGATTTTATTCTATGGGTAATGCAAATCCATTAGCAGGTGGCGTGATCTAATGTACATTATAAAAACATAATTCTGGCAATTTTGTGAAAAAATGACCTGTAGAAAAGCAAGGTGTGATGAATCTAATAAAAGATTGCACAAGTAGAATGAAGGCAAGAAAATGGAAAAAGTGGACTGAATTAGGATTGTGAGCCATTAGCATTCAAACTTAAAGTTTCTTTGTTCATAATATTTGCTAATTAAAGGGGGAGTGGAGTATAAGATATAGAAAATGGGGCTGATTTTTACTACCATAACATACCTCCTATGATTTAAAAATATAAATCATTACTATTAGTTTTAATCTGCTTCCTTCATATTTCTTTCATATAAAAAATAAAGAATATATAACTGCATAATCTCTCAGACAATAACACAGCTTCAAAATAAGTGTTGGTTCAAAGGATAAAGTAGTATTTTGTTAAGGGGCTCTCATTTTGTAAGCTACTTTTATTTTTGGCATACACAGTACTCATGGTCAGCTTTAATATACTCAGATATCATTTCAAAGTATTGTTATTTCTAGGCCTTACTTTAAAGATTTCAGCCTTAAAAGTATGATTAGAAGAAATTTCGTGAGCATAGTACTTCAAGCCAATTTTTATCCGACCTTTCTTTAATGCTTTACTTAAGAGATTTCTAGACATAAAAAATATTATATTTGTATCTTATGTTACAAAGAGACCAAATGTTCAGTAACTACATACTGGATCACTTTTCTAATCTTTGATAAGAAAAGACCCTTAGAGACAGTGAGACTCCAGAGAAAAATTAAACTATGAGACATTTTTTGCTCTCTCAGATTCTTAACCTAAATTTGTTTCATATTTGATATCTGGCTACAATGAAAACCAAAGCATCCCTGAAAAGGCAAGATATGTTTATCAATAAAACATGGACATGGATGATGATTATAAAGAAAACAGGAAATGCCCTGACTTTGCCTTGAGGATAACCATGTAAATTTCTTGACCGGTTTTATAACCTTTTAAATCGTACTTGAATATTCTCTCATTTTCTGCCTCCTGAAGTCATTAATCAGTTTGCAAATGTAGCCCATGATTGGTGGGGAGGGGCTAAGTTTCCTATGAGCTAGACACCCTTAACTCTGGGAAAACTCCAAAATGACTGTATCTTTCAGATTTCCAATGGTTTCACATGATGCCAGTTATCCCATACAAAATAATTTTTTTTCTTTATTCCACTAACACTCAGGAACACTGATTTGTTTGACTTTGAGGTTGAAAAGACAAGTTTCACCAACATTATAACACTTTCTTGGAATAAATTAAATTTAAAATTTGATTCAAATAAAATATTTTTAAAATGATGTTGCAGCTTCACGGTCAGCTGTCTTTTCTTTGTTGTTATTGCTGTAGCCTGAAACATCTAGTCTTCTAATTCCAAGGAAAACATTAAATGTCAAATTCATCCTTAATACAGGATAAAGAGACCATCTGCATCTACCCCTAAATTTTCTTTTGTAGTGAGATCTGAGTCCTTGATAAAGTCATTCTCATACTGATTATTGCACTGAGAATCACTCAGCTGCTATTTAGTTTAAGAGCTAGATTTGAAGCATCTATAAAGCATGATGCTAATCTTAATTTCAATAAAACAAAATTAGCCCAGAATTAAACAACAGTTCCTGCTGAGCTGTGTTGTGATATGAAGTGTACATCCCTATCAATGTCACTACACAGACACCTATTGTCTTCAACATTACTGGGAACAGGTATGTATCTCCCCTGATGGTGGCAGCAAGTGTTCCTCATGTTTCTTGCTTTCCCAATGCATATGGTTTGATGAGATGGTCTGTACCAGTCTAGTTTGCAAAGCAACTCACCCTCTCTTCTCCTAGTGGGTTTTCTTTCTGGAATGATGAAAAGTGCTCTGAATTTGGAGTTAGATTTAAGTTCAAAACCAGCTCTGAAACATATTGTGTGACCTTTAGCAAACCATTTAACTGTCCTTGTGTCAGTTTGCTTATCTGCCTGATAAAGATAAAAAAAAGAACCCCCTTTTACAGTTGCCATCAACGTAGATTTGATACATGGGAAAATGCTTTGGAAAATGGAAAGCGTTATAAAAAATGCTATTCTGTACTAGTTTGTGAAACACCATCCATAATGACTTGTCCTCTCTTTCCGTACATAGCCTTCATTCTCTGCAGTGTGCCACAGTGTCTTCCTCATCACTGTTTTCCAGTATTTTACCTCCTATTCTTTATTTTCTCACTTTTCTCCCTCCCTCTGTGTGTCGGGGTTTCCTTGTCTGCTGTATTTCAGGTCTCAGAGACTTTGGCTTATAAACCACTTGGCTGTCCTACTCATAAGTCACAGTGCTCCCTCCACTGCTAGATCATCAGTTCTGGCTGGCAAGGATCTTGTTCTTAAACATTATTTTATCCCCAGTGCCCAAGCAGCACCTGTCACACAGCAGGTATTGGGTGGAATGTCAGTGGAAATAATGAGTAGTTTACCAACTAAGACCAATTTCAGTATTCCCTTGGGTTTCTCTAATTTGAACCTTGAGTGTCTTATTAACATTTGACTCCCCTTGATTTCTGCCTACACATTTCTATTTTAAATATTGCCTCTCTTTTACCAGTGTCTTTTCTGTAGATTATGCTATAATAATCCAGTATGCCTTTAAACATTTAACACAATTTACAAGTGAAAGAAAGGGAATAACGTGCAGACTCTCCCCATCTCAAGTTACTACCATCTAAACATTTTAAATGAATGAAGAATGAATAAATGTGTGTCTATATGGGAAATTAGAATGTCATTATTTCCATTATAAAGTATTTTACTTGCTTTGAAAAATTGTTCAATACAGAGTTCCTGAAAATATCTAATTTCCCCTACTATAGACCAACTAAAACTTGTTTTCCACAAATAAGTTTTATTCCTAAACCTACATTCATGAAAAAAAATTGCATCTAACACAGCATTCTGATAATAGGATACACCCCCTAAATGATGTAATCAATCAGAGATTTTTTTCACCAAGTCACTGAAGCTGAGAATAAATAACTTTCGGTTCAAAGATGAGTGCCTTCATATTTTAGGTAATAGAAGATTAAATAAAACAATGTACGTGAAATTGTCTTGTTGACTTAAAAAAAAAAAAAGCTGTAAAAATGGAAGAACATAGGCTTTGAAATAAAAAATAGACCTGGCTTCAGATTTTGGCTACTTGACATATCCATTGGCTAGTCTTGGGCAAACCACTACACCTCAGTTTCTTCATTTGTAAAGTGAGAATGTTAAAATTACCTTGCAATGCTGTGCAAAAGATTCCATAAGGTAAAGTGCTGCTTCCTTGTAAGCACTTCCTAAAAAGTAGCCATTATTAACCATATCATAATTTCTACTAGAACACAAACTCCACATGAACAAGAGGTATCAGTGTGTTTTAAATACTTACCACTCTACCTGGCACATAGCAGACACTTAATATATGTTTCTTGAGTAGAGGTAATTAGGATTAGAGGATGAGAATGACGGTGTATAAAATTGCTCATCCTCCTGAGACTATCAGTGTCACCCCCACAAAAGGGTGTCTAATCCCAAAGGCTATGACATGAACTTTTAGTAAAATCCCTGTCCAGTGAGACTGTTTTTGGTATTTTCCAAAACATCTTTATTACAAAACTAAAGCAGGATGGGTGTGGAGGGTGGGGAACACAACTTCTTTTTTAAAAGTAGTGAAATCAATTTGTCTGTTATCTTAAACAAACTGAGGTTGGTCACAGAATGACCAGAATGACATGTTACTAGTCCCTTTGTCCACTGGAAGTATCTGAGGAGGAAAGGAAGGGCTTGACACCCACCTTCCTATTTAAGCCCTTGGGGATGTGTGGGTAAATGCATCCCCTCGTAGAAACAAAGAGGATTAATTCCCCCCACTTTTAAAGTTATTTAACATCACTATATGTACACAGACAAAATAGTAAAATCTCAAGGAAGGCCCTTTTCTTAAAGAAACATTTATTTATAAAAATGATCTGCTTCCCTGATACCACCACCCCCTAGGATTTCCCCCTAAAGAAAGCAGATTCAACACTTGCCCTTATCCCTTCTTCCCCTTGAAACTTCACTAAAACAATAGTAAAGGGATATTTTAAAAGGCATAATCCCAGGGAAAACTGCATAATCCCAGGGAAAACTGAAAAAAGGAAAAAGAGATAACAGCAAGTATATTTTGGAAAAGTGCAAAGCAGAGAGCAGAGTGGCAAATTCCTCAGCAGTCCCCCAAAAGCTGAATGCTAAAGCAATAGTGGGAAAACCTGATTCACATCACGGAGTCCCCAAAATACTCAGGTATTGGCAGCCCTGAGGTGGGGATAAAGAGAGAAGGACTTGTTGAAAACCCCACTTAGGAAGAAGTTAGACCTCCCCCAAACACAGGCCCCTCTCTCATCCTATGCAGCAGGGTGACTACCCTACCTTCACCAATAGAGATGCTTGAGGAAGTGGAGACACTAAAATAGAGAGTCAGGATTGGGGACAGCAGGTATAGTAGATGACAAAGTACAGTACTAGAAACACAGAATTGAAGGTCAAATTTACATACCTTTCCTACAAAGGTTCAAGACTCAAATCAAACCAAATTAGCAGTGGACTTCTAAAGGACAGCAAACGAGTGTCTTCAAAATTCTGAGGAAAAAAGTTATTTCCAATCTGGAATTGTACAGCCATCAGAATTAATGCATGAGGGTTTATAAAGCCATTTCCAGGCATATAGGCTTTAAAAATTTTCCTATGAATGCTTTTTCCGGAAATTACTGGAAGACATGCTTCCTAAAATGAGAGACTAAACAGAGAAGGACAATGACTTGGAATCCAGGAAACAGAGGGTCTAAAATAAAAGGGAGGCAAAGGAAATTCCAGAACGGTAGTAAAGGGATATCCCATGATATCCTTTTACTACCTGAAGCAATAGCTTCAGGAGGCCTAGGCTGGAGCAGGTCTAGAATGTTCTGATATATATATATATATATTCGATGAAATGCCCAATATATTTGACTATATAAAGAAAAAACTTACACCAGAAGGAAGTAATTCAGAGTTGAATTAAACATAAATACACAAAACAACAAAACAAAGAAATTGATGAATTTCAAGAAAAACAACAGATCATTCCAGAAAGAAAATGTAAACCTAGTACTTTATCAGACCCAGCTGTAAACAGCATTTACATGGTCACACTCATGTAAACACCAATCTAACCAAAATTATGAAATGTCTGGGTTGAGGTGAGATAGGAAGTATGGTGGGTGAGGCACAGCAGGAAAGGGTGCCAGTTCTTCATCTTCCATAAGGGGAAGCCAATGGATAGTGCCCAAAACTAAAAACTAAAAGAAGAGTTACATAAATATATGATTTAGAGATACGGAAGTAAATTCCAAAGGAATCTGCTCAAACAAAATTGAAAGCAATTGCCTCATGGGTGTGGAAAATGCCAGGATAAATGACTGCAATGTTTCATCATAAGCTTTTTGGAACTAAATTAGCTCTCTAAATTATGTGCTTGGAGCACACTGATAAAAGTAAAAACAAAATTAAAACAAACAATAGCCCTCTGGAGGCCTTGACACCAAAGAGAAAAGTCTTGGTAGCTGAAGGACTTTAAATATGTTTTACATAGAAAATTGTAAGTGGTGCAATTATACTTCAGGGTTATGCGAGGTAAAGGAGGTGAGTGGAGATTGGAAATATTCTAACTGCTCAGGTACAGTCTTCCTTTCCCTAAATGTATCCTCAGTAATTCAAAATAGAAATGGTATAACAAAAATATAAAAAATGTATACCCAGGCTAGACCCTGCTTTGAAATATGAATTTCTTCTGCAATATTGCCCATTAAAACTATACATTTGGGAGGCCAAAGTGGGCAGATCACAAGGTCAAGAGATCAAGACCATCCTGGCCAACATGGTGAAACCCCATCTCTACTAAAAATGCAAAAAAAAAAAAAAAATTAGCTGGGCATGATGGCACACCCCTATAGTCCCAGCAACTCGAGAGGCTGAGGCAGGAGAATCGATTGAACCTGGGAGGCGGAGGTTGCAGTGAGCCAAGATGGTACCATTGCACTCTAGCCTGGTGATAGAGCGAGACTCCATTTCAAAAAAAAAACAAAAACCTATCCATACTGTTTGCTCAAATCAGTGTGAGTTGAACTATTTTCCATGTTCGTTCAGTTCAATCACAAAATCATAGAACCTAGAATTCTGTTATTGTCAATTTCATTCAATGATAGTCTGAATTTTGTTTGTTTGTATTCTATTGCCTCTCAATGAATGAAAAAGTAAATTTTTTCTTTTTACGTCTTTACTTCTTTACTGTTAATAATGGGTATTAACAAACTTTCTAAAAAGACAATATTTGCTTTTGTATTAAATATTTCCAATGATTTTCACTTTGGGGAAACTTGACTTTTTAAAATTTTCATTTCTAACTTTTATTCATCTAATGAAGACAAAAAAGCAATCTTCTCTAACAAAGTCAATCAATTTATTGAGTGCCTATATTTTGGAAAGTATTAAACTTGGTAAAAGCAGTTGAAAAACATAGGAAAAGATACTTTCAATTACTAAGAGCATGTTTAGAGAAAATATACTCTCTACATGTAAAACTTAACACCCTCATTCCTTTCAACTTTACAAAGAGAGGACTCTATGATATACATTATCTAAAGAAAACAAAAAACTCTGTATCTACCTCACCACAAATAGAAAAGGCAATTGTTTTCCAAACTGTTTTTCTATATAAATGCCACTGCAAAAGAATTTTTACATTAAAAGAATTGTAATGTTTTCCTTGAACACTTTTACATAAGGTTTTTTTTGTGTGCAAGCAAGCAGATAATTCACCAAGTATCACAGAATCCCCCTCAATAAGAATCTGCTACACTGAAAGAAAAGTAAAAAGTATAAACAACATAAAAGTTATTTTAACTTACTGTTCTCTGAATTTATAACTAAAAACTCAGACGGTTTTTTCATGAGTAACATTCAACATGATTTAAAACCACAAAAGTCAGATTTGCTTATCTTGTAAAATTGATACAACCTGTGATTCATCTCCCCCCAACTAAAAGTTATTTCAAAATATAACACACTTTACTGGACATTTTAATATTTTTAAAACATGGTGCCTTTTGACTCCTATCTACATGCTACATAGCCAATACTTTTAATAAACAAAAAGTTTGATGAAAGGCCTACATTCACTAAATGATAAATGATAAACTCCAGTCTCTATCCTGTCAAATACTAAACTCTGCAAACTTTCTGTGCTAAGTATCTTTATGGCAGTTGTTTATTTTTCCTTTCCCGGTGATTGGAGGTTTAAAAATATTATGTTACTTACAGTTAGTAAATAAGGGAATTCCATTGCCAAATATTTGTACAAGATAATGGAACAGCCATCCTTCTATTAAGAATCCATGGGGACTAAAATACTAACAACCTCAAGAGTACTTGCTGCTGAAAACACATATACACACAGAGCCTCTGTTTTAGCTATAGCAGACACACACTTGGTAATTTCTGAAGGTCAATCATTCACCACGTCAATATCTCTCTACAATTTTTTTAAAAAAGTCAAAGAATCAGGTCAGCCTGATTTAGGAAAAATAAATTAGAACTATAGACCAATGGTTAAAGAAATAGTCTTGTCTTAGAGACCGTCCCAAGCCCACCAGTATCAATAACTACTCAGGACATGCAGAAATTTAAGCTCAGATTAAAAATTTATGGTCCTTTGTGCATGCTTGTACTTGAATAAATATTGAATATTTTTTCTAAAATTGTATCTTAATTTACTCCCCTTTTCAATTTCATTTACATTAATAATTGCTGAGCTAATTTCTTATTAAAGATGTTGGTGAAATTCAAATTAGTAAGGGTTTGCTTCATGTGATGTTCAAACTACTAGACAGAGAAATGTGTTATGCCAGGATGTGCCAGTCTAGCAGAAGGCTACAAGTTCCCAGGGTCAATGATGTACATCAAGGCATTAAGGGTCAGTCAATAAAACATCGGAGCACACTAGAGAAGTCACCATGTACATGGTGTCTATTGCCTGGTAAGCTAAGTCAGCTAAAGTGTGCAAGCTCAGCCCTATCTCAAAAGATTTACAGGCTGTTACTGGTTTCTGAAGAGGGTATCTATACAGATTATTGGGCCATTCCTAAGAATGTGAGACAGGGGTCCCCATTACCAAAACCCATACATGAACATGCAAACAGGAAGGAGCCTTAGCAATATCTCAAGCAACACAGCCAAAATAATACCACACACGATTCTGACCCTTATCGTGCCTCTCCCTCAGACCTAACCAAATGTGTCCAGATACTTCCCAAACAAAAGAGGGGAATGAGTTCACTATAGTCAGCATCTTTATTTTTATTAAATTTTTTTTGGAGACAGAGTCTCATTCTTTCACCCAGGCTGCAGTGCTGTGGCATGATCTCGGCTCACTGCAACCTCCCCATCCCAGGTTCAAGTGATTCTCCTGCCTCAGCCTCCCAAGTGGCTGGGACTACAGACATGCACCACCATGCCCGGCTAATTTTTGTATTTTTAGTAGAGATGAGGTTTTACCACGTTGGCCAGGCTGGTCTCGAACTCTTGACCACAAGTGATCCACCTGCCTCGGCCTCCCAAAATGCTGAGATTATAGGCGTGAGCCATTACACCCCACCAATAGTCAGCATCTTTATGAAAACACTTTCATAAGACAACAAGTTAGGAAATGAGAAGTTTTAAAAGACGTTAGATTAGGCGAAAGAAAACTCGTACTATAATAGCTGTCAACAACTTTTTAGCTTATCTATAACTCTATGTCTGCAAAAGTATCTCCTTCTAAATCACATTTTTTTTTGCTTTCAAACAAGATAAATACTTTATTTTTGTATATTCTCCAGAATGACCACAAACCCTATTTGTTAAAAAAGGGTATTAAAGGAAATAGTTTCGTTTAAATTTTACAAATCCACATATATAAATATGTATTACAAGTAAACAGCTTGTTCTTTTCATTGATAAATATATTCATGCACATACACTTTGTTCCTAAACCATAAATATTTTTATTCCCACAGAAAAAAAGCATAAGAACATAATTATTTGTGAATGTTACACTCTGATTCACAGTCATGCTCAATGTTCAGAGAAGAAAAATGATGTATAAACAACGATAAAATTATTAAATCAGCGAAGTTGCCAAAACATCAGTAATTCAGTCTAAATGATAGAAGGAAGTTTGAATTAACTACAAATTACAGAATAATTGTAAAGAAATGCACTTTTGTTACAATGAATATTTGAATATAACGATGTTGAAAAGTAAAGACCTGCTTTTATAAACAAACCAATGATGACGTGAGGAAAGCATATCCATTATCTCTAAGTAAATGTTTTTAACATTCTTGAAAAGTTTATTCGTAAAAATTTGTTCTCCAAGTTTGTCTAAGCAGTTCTACCACAGTCCACTGACACTAGTTGTTTAAGAAAAGTCTTTTCCCTGAGGCTGAAAAATCGCTGCAGCGTTCCAAAGAACTAATGTTGTAACCCTCAGCAAGGTCCTCTTTGTGCTGGCTTGTTTCCCTAAACTCACCTTAGCCCAGCACCCAGTGTCTAGATGCCTAATTTAGCTTAGTCAGTATATTTTTAGTATCAAATCTGAACTAAAGACATCTAGATTAATAGAATTTTACTTATAATGACATCTGGAAAAAATCTAAAACATTAGATGGACTTCCCCACATGAGTACCTTTATTCGCTCATCAATAAAGGCATATTGTCAGAATTAAAGCATGTCCTCCATTCTCTCTTCTATCATTAAAAAAGGTTATCAAAACGTAATTCTCCCTTACTTAGCCAAGAGTAACAAGACCAGGTATCCATTTCTCCCAGGTGAATGAGCAGAAGGTCCAGGATTAGGGAATAGACACTCCTACCAGGGATACATAGCAAAAGATAGAACAGATCGTGCTTCTGCTCACAAAACTTCAGATCACAGAGTATGCATGACATTCAATTTGGCACCAGCTCACTCAGCCAAGTCTCAGACATATCTGATACACATATACCCTAAGACATACATGTGCCCTTCTCCAAGCCCACTGTGAGCTTTCCAGTGTTATCACAATTGTTCCTTCCACCAGCCTTTGGGTCCTCCAAAGCGCCTTTCTCCTCTGGCCCACTGTCCACCAACCACTCACTGCCCCTTGCCCTTCTCCATCACATCTCAGCTCAAATACTTCCTCAGGTCCCTTTGTTAAATGTTCTTAATAGAAGACAACGATTGTTCCTTAGTGTTTTTTTCTTTCTCCTTTTTTTTTTTTTTTTTTTTTTACAGTACCTTTAAAAACACAAAGAGAGAACTTTCGGAATGAAAGTACTTTCATAATAAAAGGTAAAAAACCCTAATTGTCTCATTAGAAGTTCTCAGTCTGTGCTTCAACTCAACTGTGCAAGCCCTATACAGAATGTGAAACTGTAAAATATTTTAAATGCTTGTTTACTGGAAAAGACACAGCAATGATTCATATTCTACTTAATTAGAAATTATTTTTAAGTTGCTATCATTTAATAAAATTCTGTTATTTCATTAAATCTTTAGAATTGTATTCATATTCTTCTTAAAGATTATGTTTCTAAAATGTCATTATTTTAAGGAAATTTGTTGTTTCTAAAGTTTAAAGTTTTATAACTAAAATAACGGCTGTATAAAGAAAATTCAGGAATAACCACTTATTTTAGAATAATTCAAATGCGCTGCTTAACAGAAATACAAAGTGATACAACTACAGTGTTAAAACATTTTAAATACAATTTAAGTTATTGTTTCTGTCATCTAAGCTGAGAAAATTTATCTTAGCCTGAGCATGTAACCTGAGCCTATTACCTTTTCTCTGAAAAAAGGAAAAGACACATGGATTACAATTCTAAAAATGTGAGTTTTTAAAATTTATATAGTTTCAAGAAAAAGCTTTCTTTAATTCATAATCTTATTTAGCCAACAACTTCATTAGACATTGCACATAAAGCAAATACTAACCATGATTTTTTTTTTTTTCTAAATATTCCATCTAAAAGCTGCTTTCCTCACTGGCTTAAATGACTTAATTCTCTCAACTTTTACAAACGTTATCCGCCCTCTTGTTTTAACTCTCTTTACATTTAGGATACTGTTTCCTCAGTCATCTCCTTTTAAATGAATGTTTTCTGGTTTATGTTTGCCAAAGGAAGTTAGTAGAGAGACATGTGGAAGTAAATGAGAAAGTGAAAACACAGCACAATTGCTGAACTCTCCTCAAGGAAGCATTCGCTGAATTGGTGACCAGTATTCACAGGTGGAATGAACATTTCAATAGCATGTGCTGCCAGAAAAATACCTGACTTTGAACTTTGCACAAACTCAGGACAGTCACCAAATCAATGGATATGGAAATATTTGGCTTATATTTAACTAAAATTATCTCAAATGTATATATCTAAAAACAATCTATAATAAGGTTTAAAATGCTTACGGTGACATAGTACACCATACAAAAACTTGAATCATTCATATTTCAAACCCTGAAGAAAGACAAAGTTCCAATGAACAGCCAAAATCCTCTCATAAAGACCCAACACTAAGGCCATGAATATCACACAGTTTTCCTGGCCCCTGTCTCTGACACAACATTTACTTTTGAAGACATCTGCTGACATACTTTCATGGGGCATCAGAAGCCATAAAATACTTACAAGTAAATTTAACTGAGGAGTTAAAAGATCGATATGCTGAAAATTATAAAATACTGATGAAAGAAATTGAAGATGACACAAACAAATAGAAAGATATCCCATGTTTATGGATTAGAAGAATTAATATTGTTAAAATGTCCATACTATCCAAAGTGACCTACAAATTCAATGCAATCCCAATCAAAACTCCAATGTCATTTTTTTACAGAAACAGGAAAAAAAATCCTAAAATTCCTATGGTACTACAAATTCCCCAAATAGCCAAAGTAACCCTGAGCAAAAACAACAAAGCTGCAGGTATCACACTACCTGATTTCAAAATATATTATAAAGTTATAGTAATCAAAACAGCATGGTAGTAGCCTAAAAACAGATATCAACCAATGGAAAAGGACAAAAAGCCCAGAAAGAAGTAAACTGACACATTTACAGCCAATTGATTTTTTGACAAAGATGCCAATAACACACAATGGGAAATGGAAAGTATCTTCAATAAAGGGGAACAACTGGATATCCATATGCAGAAGAATAAAATTACTCTTATTTCACAGCATAAGCAAAAAAACAACAAAAATGTTTTAAAGATTTAAATGTAAGACCTGAAACTGTAAAACTAGTAGAAGACAATGCATGAGAAGAACTCCAGGACACCGATCTGAGCAATGATTTTTTAATATGACCCCAAAGTCACAGACAGAAAAAAAGCAGAAATAGACACATGAGAAAATATTAAACTACCAAGCTTCTGCATAGCAAAAGAAACAATTAGAAGAGTGAAACCCATTGATTAGGAGAAAATATTTGCAAACCATGTATCTGTTAAGGGACTAATATCCAAAACATAAAATGGACTCAAACAACTCAATAGCAAGAAAGTAAATAACCCAATTAAAAAATAAGCAAAGGACCTGAACAGACATTTCTTAAAAGATGACATGCAAATACCCAACAGAAGACAAAGAGATGAAAAAAAATGCTCAACA
This sequence comes from Homo sapiens, assembly GCF_000001405.40. NCBI lineage: Eukaryota > Metazoa > Chordata > Mammalia > Primates > Hominidae > Homo > Homo sapiens. The sequence continues at coordinate 120,831,059 of NC_000007.14, forward strand.
TCACTGTTAGGAAAACACAAATTCAAACCACAATGAAATATCAACTTGTAGCTCTTAGAATGTTTACTATCAAAAAGACAAAAGATAACAAATGTTGGCAAGGCTGTGGGGGAAAAAAATCCTGGTACACTGTTTGAGTAAATATAAATTAGTACAGCCATTATGGAGAGCAGTATGGAGGTTTTCAAAAAATTATAAATTGAATTACCATATGATCCAGCAATCTCACTTCTGAGTGTACATCCAAACGAAATGAATAGGAATGCCACAGAGATATCTGTATTCTCATGTTCATTCCAGCATTATTCACAATAGTCAAGACATAAAAGCAACCTAAGTGTCCATCAATAGATGAATGGATAAAGAAAATGTAGTCCATATATACAACAGAATACTATACAGCCCTAAAAAAACAAGGAAATTCTGTTACTTGTGGTAACATGGATGAACCTGGAGGACATTATGTTAAGTGAAATAAGCCAGCACAGAAAGACAGATACCACATGATCTCAGTTATATGTGGAACCTAAAAAGTGTTGATCTCAGAGGAATAGAGAGTAGAATGGTGGTTACTAGAGGCTGGTAGGGTGAAGAGGAGGAGGGTGAAAGGATGATTAATGGGTACAAAGTTTCAGTTAGATAGTAGAAATAACTTTTAGTGACCTATTGCATAGCATGGTGACTATAGAGTGATGTATAAGTGTATATTTAATAATGATAAGTTGTATATTTCAAAATTGCTAAAATAGTAAACTTTAAATGTTCTCACCACAAAAAATAAGTGGATGCAGTGGATATGTTAATTAGCTTCATCTAAGAATCCCACCGTGTATACATACATCATTGAAACATCAAATTGTACCCCATAAATATATACAATTATTATTGATAATTACAAATAAAAAATTTTAAATTATAACTTCTAAAGAATTCTAGCTAACAAGTCAAATAAAGTACATGTATTGAGTAGATATGTTTCTATTATATAAAAAAGTACAAATGCTGAATAATTTTTCATTTCCTGATGTCAAGCAATACAAACATTACTATCATGTAATGCTTTATCCATAATTCTACCTCAGCAAGGTTTACTGATTTCAGCCACCTTCCTCCAGTCCCTAAGTCTTACTTAGTTCATACCCTTATCCATGGCTTCTGGGGATGATAATGTAATCACTAACAGGGCTTTCTATTGTCTCCCGCTTAAATGTGAATTATCATTTCATCACAAGCTGGAAACACGCATTGGTTCTTTACAGCCCAAAGAATAACATCTAACTTTTTGATAAAGACCTTCACAATTGGACTTAACTTCATTTTCTTCTCACTGTGCACCAACACCACAGCCACTCTGACTTTCTAAGTTTTGCCTAAGCTTACCCTGTCCCTTCACTCCTCAGTGTTTATACACACTCTTCATGTTGCTGTAAATCTTCTTCCTTCCTCGTCTCCACCGGCAAACCCTTATGTATTTTTCAACATCCAGTTCAAATAAAGACTCCCCTGTGAAACATTCTGGAAATCTCCATTTGCTCCTGATTCTGGGTTCCCACAGCAATTATTTATAAATTTAATGTTATATTTTGCTTTGTAATTTTCTTTCTATTCACCCCTTTCATCTTTGTTCTCTCAAGTAACTATCATGGATGGGTACTCAATACACAATTAAGGAGGGCAAAAGGAAAGGAAAGAGGAATGAGAGGTGAGGAAGGTAAAAAGGAAAGGAGAAACTGCTTGATTCTTTGACAAGATAAGCAAAAATGATAACTACAGTAGAAATTTTAAAGTTCATTTTATAATAAGCATACCAAAAGACCATATTTTTAGAAATTAAATGACTACCGAATGCCTTGGAGTGATAAATGAAGCATAGTTAAAGTCTTCTAGAAACAATGCCAGTAATTAGTTAAATGCCTTATAACAGTACTGTGGTGTAGTGAAACCTGCATGGTCTTTCAGCACAGGCTGCATTTGAATGCTAACAACTACCAGCTGTGTATCTTTGGGGATTCTACTTTTCCTCATTTGTAAAATTAGTCTAATAGAGTTGCTGTGAGTATATTTTGAGAAAACAAAGGTAAAATATTGGGCAGATACTGAACATACGGTAAATAATATGATGAATCTTCATTTAGAAATAAAGTTTAGGCTATCAACCAAAAATATAAACAAAATAATAAAGACATACAACTTAATAGGTTAATTTTAACTTAAGGACTTATGACTAGCTATATAATCATAAAATTCATGACTATGTAAGAGAAGGCCTTAAACAGAGACTTTTTAGAAAATCAATTACTACTTAAATATATTCTGATTTGCATTATGATTTTAAACAACAAACAAACAAACAAACAAAAAAAAAACAAGGGGAAATTTCTCCAAGGCCATTAAAATTTCATTTGATTTCCACTAAGGAAAACATTCAGATCTGGTTCAATCACTCTATATTTAAAGAAAGTTTTAAAAGTGCAAGCACACAATCAATAGTTATATTCAAAGTCTCTGGAAAAATAAAATTGGAAAAAAAAGCACTTCTCCTTTTAAAATGATTCATTTGTATTAAATACGTAAGGTACATCCAACTTAATTTCTGACAAGCACTTGACTGCTTGTGGTTTGCTGGCAGTTGAGCATATATTTGCATCACATCCTGACAAATGATGATCTCCTGATGGTGACATTCAGCTGTTGTCAACATCATAAACATGTCTGTTCAATCTGTTTACATTCCCCCTGAGCTGGCACTGCTTTCCTAATGCCTATGTTAATAGCAAGGTAGAACTGCAATAACAAATGAATTTCATTTCGTCTACAGCTAAAGCCTTGGGAAGTAACCATCTAAGGCTTAAAACCAATTTCAATTTAGCTTCACTTTCTCTGTTAATGGGAGAAGGAATTTCTACTACTGAAATTACCGTGAAAGGCATGGCATATTCCAGTTTCTTTTCTTAGTCATTTTTGGCTTGTTTTCCCATTATAATTAGAATTTAATTATTCTTAAACCCCTCATATAAATACATAAAAATTTCTGTTCTATGACAGTTTCACACTTGCTAAGAACAAATCTAATGAGTACGTTTGCCAGATAAAGCAAATAAAAATACCTATGTCCATTTAAATTTAAATTTCAATGAATAATGTTTTAGTATATGTATATTCTAAACATTGCATGGGATATACTCATACTAAAACATTATTTATTGTTTATCTGAAATCAAATTTAATTGGGCATCTTCTATTTTATTTGGGAACCTTAAATTAGGGTGCTTTAACAACTTACATCTATAAATCTATCATTCAAAAGAAGGATGAAATTCATGACCAAGGTTTCTCAGAAATGTTTTCCAATAGGTGGCCTCTTAGCTTGTAGAGGTTTTCTGTTGCTTTTTGATGAGGGCTGCAGGGAGGCTGGTTATAAAGACCTGTTTTGAGGAAGGCTCATTTACTTTTTCTTGATCAGTCTGTTGAATAATGGCATTTTTACTTTTGCTTGAACAGCAAAACAGCCCAGTTGCCAGCTCTTTTTTATATATATATAATCATTCAAGAGATATGGCAGCTCTCTGAGATACCAATTGTCTTTTGAAAAATAGCTTTCTCACACTAATCTGTTTTACAGCTCTTAAAAGTAAAACAAGACTTTGAATACAGGGAAATGGACAAGTTGGATGAATGTATTCTGCTTGTTTAAATATTTACATCCAAAATAAAAGTAAGAAACTTCCTTAAAAAATTGTTTTTAATTAGGATAAAAGGTTAAAGGGCACACAAAAAATACTGTAAGTTACTTTGCAAATATTTGCCCAAGACCTTACATCATGTCGCATTCTGCACTATTTTACCGCCCACCCCTCCATGAGCCATTCCCCTTGTAATCTAACCTTTTCTAACAGTCAAATTCCTCTGTTAAAATCTCACTCTCATCACTGCCTTCCAGGCAACATCTTTAATCTGATGTGCTGGTCATTCCTACTTTCACTATTCTAATTCACTGTCTGTTATTCAATGATTTAATAAACACTTATTAAAGCAATGAGCAAGGTGAATGGTTCATATTACTGAAGTTGTTTGTAGTCTGGTAGTCTGGGCTGATTATTAAAAAGAAAAGGAAGTTTATAATAAGAGAAATACACTAGGCTTCAAAAGTTGGGAAAAGTCTATTAGAGACATCAGTAAAGGCCCAGTGAGAATGGGCTTTGCAATCAGGAACGCCGAGGTCTGAATCCAAGCTCCCAGCCTTATTGCCGAATGACTTGTGGCATATTACTGACCTCTCTGAACCTCATTTAATAATTACCTATCTCAGATAATTGTCGTCAGGTTTAAAATGAAAATGTTTTATACATTACAGGACACATTTGTAAACACTTAGGAAAAAAATCAGCTATTATAGAGTAAAATGGCAAAATTGTTACAAATATTGGAACTAGACTGCCATGGCCTGAATATTAGATCCTCTCTTTACTAGCTGTGTAGACTTAGGCAACTCACTTAATCTCTCTATGCCTCATTTCCTCATCTATATTAAGTGAATAATAAGGGTAATTCAAAGTTTTAGTCCAATTTTATACTCAGCAGAGAGGATAAAATTGATTAACTCATGTACAAGAACTCTTCATTTAAAAAAAATTCAGGTAAAACTCTACAGTGTCTGGCACTGTAAGTACTCAAGAAATGTTAACTACTTCAATTATCATCAGTGTCATAATTATCATTTGAAGAGGTAGCATTTCAGATAAGTCTTCATGGGCTAGTAATATTTAAATGAAAGTACTGAGAAGAAATTTCTGGCTAAGAAGACAGCAAGAATAAATGTAGAGAAGAACGGAGCAAGAAAGTTTGTTCAGGGGTCAGAAAATACAGAACCAGAGAATAATGAAGTAGATAAAAAAGCAAAAAATGGCAGATCAAGTCTCCATTGTAGAAGGGCTTGGTGTACATTTGAGGTGTTGGTACATACTTCATTACCCAATAGGGAGTCTCTGCACCTGTCTGAGCAGGAAGTTAGGAAAGCCTGAACTTGGGCATCCCAGAGGAGGACAGAAAAGAGAGGACAACTTCCCATGACTGTAGAATCTGAACTGAGAGGAATAGGCAGCTATTTAGAGGAGTGGGATGTGGGGAGGAAGCCAGAGAGGAGAGCCTGAGAAACAGACCAGATGCAAATTGGTTGTGAGTGATAGATACATGGTAGTTGAGACCACAGATCATTCTTTAGCAAGAAGGAAGCTGTGTTAGGTCTAGACAGAGTAAGGACTAGAAGCCTGCCATGAGAGGAGAGGCACCCCAAAGGGAATGGAGAACGAACAGCCAAAGGCAATCAACAGGAAGGAGGAACCAAGATGTAGATGTCACCTAGGGACACATGGAACAGCAATGCATAAAAAGATGCTTTGTAAAAAAGAGTACATCCAAAAAGCAAAGTAGAGATGGAAAAAAGCAAAATCAATCTATGCTCATCATCTTCCCAGAGGGTGGCACTGAACCCTTCGGGCTGAGCTCAGAGTTCTTCCTCTCTGGCCTCAATAGCACCCAGTGCAAACCCTATTAGAGGTCTTATCTCATAAAGACAGGTCTGATAGCAAAAATTGGTGGTATACATGATCAGTAAGTATTTGGAGAATGAATGAATGAGTAAATTAGTGGCCTTTAGAACCTCAGTCATCCCTGCCACTTTTGCATTATAATGCTCTTGCCAGTATTACAAACTAGACTCTCATTCACAAGTTTAAGATTTGCTCTACTTCAAGTAGCAGGCCACATTACTTTGTTGTTTGTCAATTTGCATTACTAGCATCTAAGCAGCCTAAGGGAATGCATAAAGAGTTTTCAAAATGTGTTTCCAAAGCCTTTGTGGTTCCATGAAATACCTGACCCTACTTGCCCTGCCTCCCTCCAGCATCCCACTGCATAGGGACTGTGCAGAGTAAAAGTTGGGAGGAGGGAGGAAATGGCAGTCAGACCTTAATTGGTTATGCAAGAGAGACATCATTGTAAGACTGCGTTTTAAAAAAGAATTCTGAGACTCTTTATTTAAAACTTGAAATATGTTATACTCTACTCAAATTATAGAAGGTTCATGTAAAGTAAGTCCTTTTGTTTATGTTTAAATTATTGCCCAAATATCTAAAATTGCAAAATAAGATCCCAAATTTCCACCATTCTCCCTTTCACTATATACCTATATGAAGAGAAATAAAGCAGTAGGCATGTTTCCCCATCTCTGAGTGTGGTTTATTTTATTCATTTATTTATTTTTTTTTTTTTTGAGATGGAGTCTTGCTCTGTCGCCCAGGCTGGAGTGCAGTGACGTGATCTCGGCTCACTGCAACCTCCGCCTCCCGGGTTCACACCATTCTCCTGCCTCAGCCTCCCGAGTAGCTGGGACTACAGGTGCCCGCCAACATGCCCGGCTAATTTTTTTGTATTTTTAGTAGAGACAGGGTTTCACCGTGTTAGCCAGGATGGTCTTGATTTCTTGACCTCGTGATCTGCCTGCCTCGGCCTCCCAAAGTGCTGGGATTACAGGCGTGAGCCACCTTGCCCGGCCTGAGTGTGCTTTATTTTCTATAGCATTTTGTGTTTTTCAATATTCGACCTGAACAGTTACCCTCCAAGAAGCTAAGTAATACATTAACACAGGTTATACTGTGAAATTCAAAGCTTTAGTTCAACTTCACACTAAGATTCTGTTTTAATTGACTTGGCATGGGAGCCAGTCAAGCACGAGTGTGTGGGAGCTGGCTCCTTGAGCCAATTTGTACTCATCTGTCCCCAGTTCCACATTCAGTGATTTCATGTTGGTAACTTAAAATTGACCATGCTGGGAGAATTTACCCCACGGAAATCCCCAAATGCTACAAATCTGAGCTTTTTTTCTGCCCAGTGATCCAGCTTACCAGCACACCACTCAAATTGTTTAAGTTCTTTATATGAAATTAATACACAGCCAGGGCTGAGACCTACTATAAAAAAAGCGTATACTCAATGAATTAATTTTTCAGCCTTATATGTCTGCAACTATATGTTAGTAATCTCATTACCTGGTGCCACTAGTATATATTTTGCACATTAAGTGCTCTTCTAAAAATATCTATATAAACAGTATTTTAATCAACTCAATTTTTTAATGTTAAAAATGTTTGCCTACTTTTGAATTAAAAGACTAGTCACAGAATTTGAATGGTGAAACTAATTTAAAAAGTACCTAGTGCAACTCTCAGAGTTAAAAAAACAACAACCAAGATTATAGAAACTGAGACTCGCTTATGTTCTCTAAACTATATAAAGGCAGTGACAGGACCATTACATACGTCTGCTACCTCACAACCTGAATTTCCATAGGAGCTTACAGGGTGGATTTGTTTAAAAATAGAAGAGAAAGAAACAGTTCCTTTATGGCTTCTCAGTTCCAGTCCCAAGGGGCCTTTTTGAGTGCTAATAACTACAAGGACACTAGAAAGAACTCATACTTTCAAATGAAAATGTCAACACGTAGCTGGAGTGAAATAATTAAATTGCTTATATATATTTCCATACCTCATCCGGTACAGCAAATATGTGTATTCAAATAATCTCTTGTGAAACGAAAGCGTCCCTTCTTACAGGATGTTGTTACTGCTATCACTGCTCCCTAATCTTGTGAACTGATTAAAAAATAATATATTACTGGTTAATCTTTTTAACTATAATAAAGAGAAAATATAACATCATACCCATGCAAGAAGCAACAGATTTCTTTTCACCGTTCCACAATATCCTAACATCCCCACAATGATAAGGAAACAGCAAACAGCAATCATGACCGGATGAACCACAGGAAAGTAAGTCAAAATGACTGCTTCCTCTACCCTGAAAGAAGAAAAATAATGTATTAGAAAGAAAATATAATCAAAATGCACCCAAGACATAGCAGAAGACACAACTGTGATTTGTGTTAATAATTCTTTCAATCATGATGCCTCAAAACTAGTGACTGCATTGTTATTTTCAAAATCACTGTGCTATTGTTTTTATGTTTATTTGCTCGGTTGCTTTATTTTTGGTTTTGCAGTGTTTGTTTTTTTTAATACAAGTGGTAGCTTTCCTACCCCAACTCATTTAACATATAATATACAGGACCTTGATAAAAGGTCCATCTATTATTATCTCCGAAGCCTTAGCCTAAGTAAATCACATGGGAGCCTTTGCTATTTCCCAGCTGGGAGGAATCTCCTTCCTCTTCTCTAATTTTTGATCCCATGTGCACTACGTTTCTTCTCCCTGACAATTGATCCTCCCCCAAAATGTAAAAGACTGCTATGCAAAGGAAAATCAATCTACATTTAAAGAAAGGAATAGGTAGAAATGATTTTTGCTAGAACACGATGAAAAATTCATTAACCGAAACCAGTATTAATGATAAAAATTAACCATTATTAAGCTAACTTTCCCTGTGTTAAGGACTTGAAAAAAATGGTTTTCATTTAATCCTTACCACAATTCAGATGTCATATAATACAATCTCCATTCAGAGATGATGGAGTAAAAAGTAATTTGTCCCCTGTGATGTTAGTAGATTAACCCTTGAAATTTGAGAAAAAAAAATCATTGTGGTGTATGGTTTTCATTAACCCAAGAATATGAAGGTAAGAGGAAGCTGACGGTAATTTTCTTAGGGAAAAGTAACTATGCTGGTTCTTTACACGCACCTATGACATGGCTGATGCACAATCAGGAGGACAGGCAACTGCTATTACCATACCCAGAAATGTCTGTATAAACATGCTGCCACCTGATCCCCTGCTAGGACCAGAGGCGCACCTTAAGGAGAATTCTGGAGGATGCAAGTGTCTGTGACAAAGGTTGCTATGGGCAGGAAAAACTTTTCCAAAAGATCAAGGAAGAGCACTACCATATAAATAGCTGAGGGCAAAGTTACTTAAAATCAGCAAGAAAGAATTCAATCAATAATTATAAAGTATACCTCGTTTCTGCAGTTAAAGTGAGAACATTATTTAGGTAGTCCCTCATCCAAGCAGAAACTGCCAACACACTGATGGACATTAACTGGGGAGAAAAAAGTACAAACCGGTTACCAAAGATTTACGTAACATTCACTGCAGGATTAATAATAGGAAAATTAAGGATTTTGTTACATAATATCTTTCCCAATTACCATTTGCTGCATCTTGAAATTTACTATTACTATAAATAACTGCCATTCCATTTTGTAATCATGTCCTAGGCACCAAATGGAATACCACCCAAATGGGATACAGAAAACAAAACTATTAAGTGGCTGATCCCAGGTTCAGGACAGAAACTGCACAAGATAAGGAGGCCACAGAACAAATAAATTATCAAACATATAAGATGTGTCTAAAACACATTGTCATTCTTAAAGGCAAGGAAGCAATTAAATACTATTACTGAACAATTAAATATTGTCAAAAAAAGTCACAAGTTAATTTAAAACGACTTCTATTGGCTAAAATTCAAATAATTTAAGCATTAAAATGATAGTAATAGTAATAACATTAAATGTAATCCTTTGATTCATAAAGCGCTAAAGTATATAAACTCATACACATATATGTGCTAAAGTATATAAACTCATAATGAACAAAATTCTCTGGTCTTTGTAGAAAGTTGAATACTCAACTCATTATTCAGAAAACTGACAAGAATCTATCATTTCTCTTTATCCTACTTTTCCTGTACAAACTAAAGGAAGAACAAAGGACTTGATTAAACTTTTTATGGAAGAATTTCTGTAATATTTGCAGGAAGCATTCTAGAGCATCACCATTTAACAACCTTTTCTCAAATAATGGATCTCTAGAAAAAAGATCCTCAATGGCTGCAATTTTATCAGGTCATTGGTTCTCAATCCTGTCTGTACATTTGAATCATTTAAGGCTCAAAAAAATTACTGAACACAGGTTTATCCTGGACTAATTCTAGGGAGTAGGGCTTGGGCATCAGAAATGTGTAGCAACTTCACAGATTCTAACAGGCAGACAGGGCTGAGAACCACTGCATTAAATGAAAGGCTGGTGGGAAGTCAGAATAGAGAAAGTAGGCAGATGATCCAGACCACACTGGTCACTCCTAGTGTCACAAAAAGAGACAATTACACATAATGTGTCTCCCAACATGGTACGGTCAGAAGCACACAGAAATTCCTATGAAGTATTTTCACCAGAAGGTCAAACTTGAATCAAATCAATCCTCCTGCACTATCAGTCAATACAAAAATACATGAAATAGATTTAAACATGTTAAATGCCACCACGGGAAGCAATTAGCAAAATCAAGCATATGAGAAATTTTACAGGACAAATGACCTGCTTTCTTGAATTGAAAAAAAAAATTGGAAAGTTAAAACAAAAAGGAGAGAAGGAGAAACTCTTATAGGTTAAAATAGATTTAAGACATGACCCAGTGCAATACATTGACCTGGTTTGGATCCCGATTCAAACAAATCAACTACATAGAAACATTTATGATACAACTGAGGAAAGTTTAACCCTGAATGAATGTTTGGAAATATTAAGAAACTACTTTGATTATTTTAGGTATGAGAATATATTATTTTTTAAAAGGTCTTTATTTTCTAGACTTATATACTGAAGTAATTTTAAATGAAATATATTGATATCTATATTTGTAAGAAAAAAACCGAAACATAATGATGACTGGGATATGGTTTAATAATTAACCATGACCGGTAGAAGTTAGGTGGGAAGTAGAGAAGGGCATGTTGATAATTGTTGAAACTGGGTAATGAATAATTGGGGATTAATTACACTGTGTTTTTCTACTTTGGTACATGTTTTAAATTTTTTCATTATTAAGAAGAAGTCTTCCTGGGAAGCTTTCCTAAAAGCTGCATATTATTAACCCCTAAGTTCTGAATGTCTTTCCTATTTTGATGGAAATCTTTTTGAAATGTGTATTTATCTTCTTAAGTACAATGTAGGGAAATTCGACTTACCCTGATTTTTAATAATTTCTGGCATTGTAATGAACATCACTTACCATTACTTGCTACAGCTTTAGCTTTAAATGCTGATACAATGAATATACAGAAGGTAGAAATGAGTCTGCGCTAACTCAGCTGGTGGCCATGAAACGTGCTTTCTGCATGAAAGCTCCAAGGTAAACAGACTGTGTAGAGCTCTACAGCTTTGAACAGTAAATTATGGCTATCTGCTTGGAAAATCAGCTAGTGAATTCACACTTCCATCATTCATTACAAATATTTACCCAACAATTACTATGTGCCTTGGACTGGGCAAGATTCAGAGACTGACAATAAATAAGAGAAATAAGATCCAGGCCTTCTTGGAACCTCTTGGGGAACACAGGCAATAATTACACAAAGAAGACAATTACAAACTGTTAAAAAAAAAAAAAAAAAAGTGCCCTGAAGCACAGAAAAGGGAAATACCCTGCTGAAGGTCTCTCAGATCCTGAGAGGTAAGAGCTGGGATTCAAATTCAAGCTGTTGGGCTTCGACGTGCCAGGGTTAGTCACTGTCTCCCAAGTTGAGAAACAGGCATGGTATGTTTCACAGAGGGTAAAAACACTACCCTACACAGCATGTAGAATTCCTTTTTAGAAAGATGGGCAGTGGGTCTCCTGCAGAAGTCAGGTTCAGTTTAAATGTCTGAACTATTTTCTTTGGTGAATGGGAGCTCAGTGGTTCTTGACCTGTAAATACAAATGTATTTCGATATAATTAATTTCCTTTGTAAGCCAATACATTTTGTTTTGTGGATTAAAATACAGATTAATAGTAATATTATATTAATTATATTAATCTTTTATAGAAGAATTTCTGCTAATATTTGTAGGACGCATTCTAGAGCATCACCATTTAAAAACCCTTTCTGAAATAATGGATCTGAAATAAAATTCAGATTATAGTAATTAATTACTATTAGTAATTAATCACTGTTAATTAATATTACTATTAATCTGTATTTTAATCCACAAATTAGAATACAGTTTAATATTCTGAAAATTATAAGACTGTCAAAGGAGTCAATGGCCTATAAGTTAGGTTAAGAACCCTGGGACCACATTCAAGAGTAGAATTAGGCCAGTTATTATTATTCTCATGTCTGTTAGAAGTGAACAGATTGTAAAACTCATAAAAGTTATAAGTGAGTCAGTCGCAGTGAATTAGCCATGTTTCTAGCTTCTTTTGATGCATTAACATCTGTTCTGCATATATATGCCAGACACATCCTGCTCTGGAGAACCTAAAAATGTGCCTGAGTCACCTTGCCTTGGCCTGCTGCCTCCCTCGTTGCTTGTTCCATCCTCAAGAGGAGATGTTCTCCCAGGGGTGCACTTTTCAAATACAAACCATGCAATCCAGAATCCAAACTCCTAAGTACCTCCCTTATGGGGCTCTCCCACTTAGGGGCCACTACACACCTGCCCTAATCACCCCAAGGCCAATTGTTCAAACTGGCCAATCCTAAACCCACTTACCTGCCTCACCTATACCTTCCCATAGGAACCATGGTATAAGCACTTGCCCACAGTTCCCATCTCTCTTTGTGCCTTGTGACTGACCCTAGTGTTTCCCCTCTTGGCCCCCCATAATGAGATGTGTACTCCATGTCTTGGGATTTACGAATATAATAAACTGTCTTCTCAATGGCAGCCATCTCCTGGTCTGTTGGCCTTGGCATACCTAATTGACAGCAGAACATATTAAAACACACAGAGCTAGCAGAAGACTGTTGGCTCTTTGATGAAATCTGTGGGCACATGTTCTCCCTCTACTTGGCTATATGTGGGTCCTTAAAACCTTGTAAGTATCTCCGGGACAGAAAAGTCTATTAATGTGGTGTATTAGTCCATTCTCACACTGTTATAAATACCTGAAACTGGGTAATTTATGAAGAAAAGAGGTTTAGTTGGCTCATGGTTCCTCAGGCTGTACAGGAAACATGGCTGGGGAGGCCTCAGGAAACTTTCAATCATGGTGGGAGGGGAAGCAGGCACATCTTACATGGCCAGAGCAGGAGAAAGAGAGAGCAGAGGAAGGTGCTACACATTTTCAAACAACCAGACCTCTTGAGAACTCACTCACTACCAGAAGAACAGCAAGGGGAAAGTCCGTCTCCATGATCCAATCACCTCCCACCAGGTCACTTCCACAACACTGAGGATCACAATTCGACATGAGATTTCGGTGGGGACACTAATCCAAACCATATCATTCAACCCCTGGCCCCTCCCAAATCTCATGTCCTTTTCACATTCCAAAATACCATCATGCCTTTCCAACAGTCCCCCAAAGTCTTACTTTGATTCCAGCATTAACTCAAAAGTCCACAGTCCAAAGTCCCACTTGAGACAAGTCAAGTCCCTTCTGCCTATGAGACTGTAAAATCAAAACCAGTTAGTTACTTCCAATATACAATGGAGGTACAGGCATTCACTAAACAGTACCATTCCAAAAGGAAGAAACTGGCCAAAACAAAGGGGCTACAGGCCCCATGCAAGTCCCAAACCCAGCAGGGCAGTCATTAAATCTTAAAGCTCCAAAATAATCTCCTTTAACGCCATGTCTCACATCCAGGCAAAACTGATGCAAGGGGTGGGCCCCCAAGGCTTTGGGCAGCTCTATCCCTGTGGTTCCGCAGGGTACAGTCCCTGTGGTTGCTTTCTTTCACAGGCTGCCATTGAGTGCCTGAAGCTTCTCCAGGCACATGATGCAAGTCGTCAGTGGGTCTATCATTCTGTGGTCTGGAGGAGAGTGGCCCTCTTCACACTGCTCCACTAGGCAGTGCCTTAGTGGGGACTCTTTGTGGGGGCTCAAACCCCACATTTCCCTTCGGCACTGCTCTAGTAGAGATTCTCCATGAGGGCTCTGTCCCTGCAGCAGACTTTTGCCTGGATATCCAGGCATTTGCATACATCCTCTGAAATTGAGTCAGAGGCTCCCAAGTCTTAACTGTTGCCCTCTGTGCACCCACAGGCTTAACACCACATGGAAGCTGCCTAGGCTAATGGCTTGCATCTTCTGGAAAAGTGGCCTGAGATGTACCTGGGCCCCTTTAAGCCACAGCTGGAGCTGAAGCAGCTGGATCATAGGGAGTAGTGTCCCAAGGTTCTGCAGGGCAGCAGGGCCCTGGGCCCAGTCCATGAAACCATTCTTTCCTCCTAGGCTTTCGGGCCTGTGATGGGAGGGTCTGCTATGAAGGTCTCTGAAATGCCTTTGAGGCATTTTCCTCATTGTCTTGAATATTAATATTCAGCTCCCCTTTGCTTATGCAAATTTCTGCAGCCAGTTTGAATTCCTTTCCGGAAAATTAGTTTATCTTTTCTACCACATGGTCAAGCTGCAAATTTTCTAAACTTTTATGATCTGCTTTCCTTCTAAATATAAGTTCCAGTTTTAGAACATCTCTTTACTTACATATATGACCATACATTTTAGAATCAACCAGGCCAAATCTTAAACACTTTCCTGCTTAGAAATTTGTTCTGCCAGATTACCCTAAATCATCACTCTCAAGTTCAAAGTTCCACAGATACCTAAAGCAGGGGAACAATGCCACAAGTCTCTTTGCTAAAGCATAGCAAGAGTGACCTTTATTCCAGTTCTCAGTAAGTTCCTCATCTTCATCTCAGACCACATCAGTCTGGACTTCATTTGTCAATATTACTATCAGCATTTTTATCACAACAATTTAACTAGTCTCTAGAAAGTTCCAAACTTTCCCTCATCTTTCTGTCTTCTGAGCCTTTCAAACTGTTCAAATTTCTGCCTGTTACTGAGTTACAAAGCCACTTTCACATATTCAGGTATGTTTATAGCAATGCTCCATTCCTGATACCAATTTTCTGTATTAGCCCATTCTAGCATTGCCATAAAGTAATACCTGAAACTGGGTAATTTATAAAGAGCAGAGGTTTAATTGGCTTATGGTTCCACAGGATGTACAGGAAGCATGGCTGGGGAGGCCTCAGGAAACTTTCAAACATGGTGGAAGGGGAAGCAGGCACATCTTACCTGGCCAGAGGAGGAGTAAGAGAGAGAAGGGGGAGGTGCTACACACTTTTAAATAACCAGATCTCTTGAGAACTCACTCTCTACCATGAGAACAGCAAGGGGGAAATCCGTCCCCATGATCCAGTCACCTCACACCAGGCCTCTCAGCCAACATTCAACATGAGATTTGGCAGGGACACAAATCCAAACCATATCATGTGGTATTTTATTTCATTATCTAAAATTATTTTACAGTTATAAAAAACTCCTCTCTTTATCACTCTTCAAAGTAATGACTGCTGTTGGTTTCTCTGTTCTATACTGGCTTTATAGGCTGTTTAGCCAGTTTTCAGTAACACAGCTTTTAGTCGTGTCAAAACATTATTTCATTCTTCATAGTGTACAATTCATTATCAGTTTAGTTACTACATATAGGTCTTCCATTTTTAACAACAAAAAAAGTGTATATCTTTTAAGTGGTGTATTCCAAGACATTTCTTATATGGCAGGATGATTAAAAGCCTGGGCTTTGAAGTCATTCTTCCATTCAAAAATCATATATTGGTCACCCACTCTTTGCCAGGCACTGTGCTATGTGTTAGGGATACACTGATGAACAGTAACAGACACTGCCTCTGTGGTGCAATTAACTAAGTGAAGAGGACACAGGTTAATCAACTTATCAGGGATATAAATATGTAACAGAACTGTAACAAGCGCTGAGAAGACATAGTACAAGTTTCTGTACAAATTCCTTTGGGAGGGCCTGACCCATTCCACGGGGTCAAAGGAACTTCTCTAAGAGAGCTAAGATCTAAAGGATAATTATCAAGTTACTCAGGAAAAGGAGGGTTGAAAATAACCTTCTGGTCAGAAAGAACAAAGGCCCCACGAGGGAAGGCAACATGACATGGTAAGCAAAATTGGCACATGGTGAGAAGGAAAAAGCAGGCAGGGGTGAGACTGCATGGAGTCTTGGAAGCCATTTCAAGGTATATCAGCTTCACCATCATGACAATGAGAAGCCACTGAATTTTGAATTTCAGCTAGGAATTCCAGCTCTACTGCCTTTTAGCTATATGACATTCAGCTTGAACTTTCCTATGCCTCAGTTTTCTCACCTGTAAAATGATATAAAAATAAGTCCTACTTCATAGAAGAGCTATATGACAAAAAAAAAAAAAACAAAAAACCAGAGTGAGACTCTCATATACATAACCTATAATTACTGCAAGTCACTTTAGACTTAAGGGTTTTCTCTTAATCTTTCTCAGTCAGTCTGAAAGATTAGACTATTCCTAAATCAATTCAGAAATGGAATCTTCAGCTGTTTGAAGGTCTACCAGATGGACAAGAAAGGAAACTCTGGGATATAACTATCTATCATACTATCACGGTCAATTTCAACATCTCTAACACTAAACTTACCTCCATTCCTCCAAAACCTGTATGTCCCTCCCACTGTTTTTCCTGTAAATGGTATAATCAATCCTTCAATCATGTAAACTAGAGACTTGGCAGGGAAGCTGAACCTCTCCCTTTTCCTCAGCTCTATATCTAATTAGTCTCAAGTCCTTCAAATTGTTCTGGCAAGGCGTCGGGTGAATTCCTCCCCCTTTTCTGCCACAACTGGCTAGTTCAGGCCTTCATCCTCTTTTGCTATCCAACTATAATTACTTTATAATAGAACTCTTCAGCTCACAGATTTCACCTCCAATTCACCCTTCGGTTACTTTTATAGAACATAGATCAAGTTCTTCTGCTTATAGCTACCCTTTATGGTTCTTCTTCAACTACCATTTATTTCGTCTTCCCTCAACTGCCTCTGAGAGAACAAAGTTTAAACTCTTGAGCAGGGCACACCAGGCCCTCTTCAGCTACCCCTTAAACTTTTTCTTAAACCGTGCTTCCTGCCAGCTCTTTCCTAGACACATTCTATATATGGAAAACAACAAAACTGCTTGCACATCTCCAAAATGCACCATGCACACCTCCCAGTGCCTATACATCTTCACTCCTGCAGTGCCTTCTGCCTGGAATACCATCCTGCCCCAGCTTTCCTGTTCTCATGTGCTGAGCAACATCTACTTTTCCTTCAAGCCCAGCTTGAACATCAAGTCCAGTGTAAAGATTCTCTCCCAACTCCCGCCTTACCTACAGATCTTTTCCCTCTTAATGCTCTTTGCAAATACCTCATAAAGCAGTTATCCTATTGTTCTTGTTTCTGTCCCTCCATCTCATCCCAGTAGAGGGCACAGAACATGGCCTATCTCCCCATCACACAGAAAAGTACCAGGCTCAGTAGTGGTGCCTAATATAGGTTAGGTGAGTGAATGAGAAAATAATTAAATTAAAGGGAGATGGTTTCATCCTGCTAGATAAGCTGTTAGAGATTTTTAAACAAATTAGAAGATGTTTTAATAAGAACCGAGCTTTCTATCACTGGAAGTTTTCCAGAAGAAAGATGGTTTCTGAAAAACAAAGTCAAAGATTTATATATCAGATTAGAAGCTGGCTAAAGTGTTCTCAAAAGTACTTTAAACTAAAACTTTGCACTATACTCTGTCCCAATGTTTTTTTTCACAGGAGTATACCCAAACATTGCAGCTGTGCACAGAACATTAGTCAAAATAAATAATAACACCAAGCCTTACTCTATAGTAAACAAGCAACCCTGGGAATAAAATGGCTTTTTCTCAAGGAATTGATTCCAGCAACATTAAATGTCTGAGAACAGTTTCATCCTCAACAAGTGAGGCTTTACTCACTGGGCTTGAGAAAATGATAACAATAAAAACAAATATAGTGCATGCCTATAGCAAGAAACTGAACTAAAACGAGACTAGGTCAACTCAATAACTAAACCTGATATTAAACCTAGAAGCACAACTTATGTGAGGAATTCAGGACTCCTTGCTAAACATGTTATTTTCTGCTAATTTTCCAAAGTAACTATGAAAATAATCCTTCAAATGCCACTCACATTGGCTAAATTATTAGGAACATTATAGTTATCACAGGCAGCTAGGTTTTATAGCTCCTTTTGCTTTCTCCAGTATTGCAACATGTTACCTGAAGCTCAAGGAGATATTTTAAAACTAAACAAAGTGTTACTTGATAGAAATACATTTAATATATTATTTGGCAGGACATTTGTCACAATGTCTCTTGCAAAATACTTAGAAAGTGCTAGCTTTCAACAAATATTTGGAAACATAAAATTTGCAGTGTTGAGGACATGGTCTGCTTTTGCTTGCATCTAATTATATAAAAACAAGTCTTGAATCAAGTTGTTTTCTGAATCAGAATTGTATGTGTATGCGCATTTCCTAAGTGTATTATGAAATGTGTACCTATAATTTCCATAAAATAGTAAGGTCACGGTCAAGAAACAGTCCTTTCTATCTTTAAACTGTCTGCCATCTGTAACATATAGTCCCACATAAGATGACAGTGACACAAATAATTTCTGTTCAAGGATGACAGCTGTCTAAAACCACATACCTAAACTTTTCATGTCAAACCTGTTAGCAAAGAGAGGAACATAAAAGACCTGAATCTTAGTTACAGCTTTGTCTGTATAGAAAAGGACTTCGACAAATAATTCAAACTTTCATAATTTTTATTGGCTAATCTTGAAAATGGGAAAATTGGACCAGAAGCTTTCCTTCTTTTAAAAAAGAATTTAAATTTTTCTGGTGTTTTTTTCTGTCTCCTAGGCATGATCATAGCTCATTGCACCTGGAACTCCTGGGCTCAACTGATCCTCCTGCCTTGGCCTCCCAAGTGCTGAGGTTACAGGCATGAGCCACCATACTTAGCCTTTAAATTGCTATTTGTTAAAATGTAAAAGTAAGATCAAGCCTTGATTATTTGGAGGCTGGTCACACGAGGTGAGTCACACGTGTGTTTCATGTTGCCAGGCCTGCTCCCTTTTGCCTTTTTGTGAGTCTGTGCCTTCTCAGCTTCCCTCTACCAGGGGAAGGGCAGAAGGAAAGAGAGCAAACAGGTAACACTATTTGCTAAAGCTGTGAAAGAATAGGCAATGTAAATGATGGCTGAAATACAGTCTGGAGATTACTGGTGGGTATCATTTCAGAATGAACATCAATTAATTAGAGCTGAATAAATCAGTATCACCCTGGAGCTGTTCTGACCGATAGTTTTTCTAGACCACCATGTTTTCCTATAGATAGGGTGACCATGCATCCTGATCTGACCAGAAGAGACCCACTATAAGCCTCTGTTGTTTGGGCATAATTCTTAGCAGAAACATCCCCTTTTCTTCAGTCTCCACATTGTCCTAGTTGCCATGATAAAGTATATGATCACCCTAAAGTCACTATAAGTAGAAGAAGAGTAAAATGCCTCATTCTACATGATAGTTTCTGTGCAGTCTAACTGCAGTAAACTCCACTTCCCCAGTGTCCCAGCTCAGGATTATTCCCTGAGTGGAGTCAATGAGGGAGGAGCCTATTGCTCAGTATGCAGCAGAATGTGCTATGAAGAATCTTCCATGTACTTCTCAAAAAACATTCCTTAAGAAGCATGCAGCGGCTCAAGTCTTTGCTCAGCTGAGCCACAATGTATATATAAAAAGGTCGATCAGCTTTGCTCTGAGACTAAAAGATTTTTTTTTTTTTTTGAAATAGAGTCTCACTTTGTTGCCCAGACTGGAGTGCAGTGACACGATCTTGGCTCACTGCAATCTCCCCCTCCCAGGTTCAAGCAGTTCTCCTGCCTCAGTCCCCCCAGTAGCTAGGATTACAGATGCATGCCACCACACCCAGCTTATTTTTGTATTTTTAGTAGAGACAGGGTTTCGCCATTTTGGTCAGCCTGGTCTCGAACTCCTGACCTCAGGTGATCCACCTGCCTGGGCCTCCCAAAGTGCTGGGATTACAGGCATGAGACACCGCGTCCGGCTGACTAAAGGAATTTTTTATGGTGAAAATTTATTTTAAAAGACCACAAATATTTGTTGGAGGGCTTTCCACTATTCCTTAGGAAGAGTTCAAAAATACTTGAATACCATTCATAGCGTAAAGTTGGGGACACCAATTTAAAATGTAGTATTTTAATATGATTCATAAATGTCCTTCCTGTGAATTCAAACTTCTACTTGCCAAGGATCTAACTCTTCAGATTCTGTGTGGATCAAACACTTAAGGTTCACTACGGATGGCCAGAGAAAAAGAAAGAGAGCATTGAGCCTCCTGTCATTTCATCTGCCACGCATATATCTCAAAAGCATAAACTAAATTTCCTGTCTACTTTTTTAGACTTTCTTTTATAAGTTACTTTTCATATTTAATCAGGGTAGTTCTTCTCTATTGCTATTATCTTTAGTAACGGTAAGTAAAAAACAATGGTTCTTATATAATGGTGAGATATGGGAGTTTATATTATACATTTAGAAAATTAGAAACAAACACATATTTGATGAATTTTAAATGTTCACCAATGTCAGAAATTTTCAAGGAGAACCATATTTATCTATATTTGCAATAATAGAAAATTACCATCTAAGAAATACAAATGACCAAAAAGCTACAGAAACTGTCTTTAAAATGGTAGAAAGCTCTCATTTCTTTAAATAATATGCCATTTAAATTTTACTAGTAATAAAAGCGTATAAATTTGAAGGAAAGGTAACCCACGTCCTTACTCCACCATGGAGAGAAGGTGAATCATGGTCTCAAAAGAACCCTCAGGCAGTTCACCTACCCACACCATCTCCTATGTGCTCCTTCCCATCACAGACCCACAATACTCATGACAAACCTAGAAGGCCCAATACTTTTGTGCCGACCCCAGTACAATAGTACTAGAATCTGGCTTCTTCATGATGTGGAAAAGACACTCTACAGATGGCAAATCAAGGTGACTGGATCCATACAATAAAGAGAATGCAGAGCATGTGTGATCTTGAATGTGCTATGGATTGTTTCTTCTTAGACGCATTTATAGCTTACACTTAAAAACACATCTATGCCTTACATTTTTTAAAAAGTACTCAAGATATACTTTTTAACTTAAAAAAAAAACTCTCAGTTTGATTTTTGACTCTCAGAACAGGAAAACAAAATTGAATGGGTTCCCAATGTTTTTGTGATTAAGATTTATTTTTTTTTCCCTAAAATCCTAGTGGGGTAGAAAAGGTAAGAAGGTACCAATATAGTAAAAATAGATTTAAAAAAACTAAGACTACTTAAAATGCCAGTGGAGAGTAAAAGCCTATAGCTTTTCACCTCATGGGTAATGGGGACAAGGTTGTCAATCTTGCAGACCCAGAGGGAGGAACAATCTCCCTCTCCATAGTCAGAATGTAAAGTCTGGTTTAAGAAGTGGGGTTCATATGCCACACTGGTTTGTTCTACTTGTAATTCCCATGAGAACTAAAAGCTAGTATTAAAGCCTTGCTCCTCAGGGTGTGGCACTCAGACCAGCAACATTGGCATCACAGAGGAGCTTGTTAGAAATGCACTCTCAGATAGAACGCACAACATACTAAATCCAAATCTGCATTTTAACAAGATCTCCAGGTGTGCATGCACTCTGAGGTTTTAGAAGCACTGTTCTAGAGAACTTGGAATGAGCAGGTGGACAGCTAATCCCTTCCTTCTGAGGATGTTTACTTGACTTCTCTCATGCAAATAAATCCATCACTGTTTCCAGCAATTTAACTTCTACTACACTTGGATAAAAAACAAAACTGGACTTTCAATTCCTGTTCTGCTACTTACTAGCAAGTTATTGAACTACTGAGTACCAGTTTCTTTATCTAAAAAAAAGAGAGAGAGAGAGAGAGACTAAGAAAGAAAACTATTTTATGGGTCTATTATGAGAACTAGATGAGAGTAATGTTAACAATGGCCAGGAATGTCTCCAGCACAGGCTGAAAACACCTTCTGACTTGGTAATGATAGGATCTGCAAACATTGCCTTAACACTGAAGAAGTAAAATCAGTTTCCCTAAAATTAGCCTATTATACATTTCATACTATTCTAACAAAAATCCCAGCAGATTTTTTTTTTTTTTTTTAATTTGAGACAGAGTCTCACTCTGTCACCAGCCTGTAGTGCAGTGGGGCAATCTCTGCTAACTGCAACCTCTGCCTCCCAGGTTCAAGTGATTCTCCTACCTCAGCCTCCTGAGCAGCTGGAATTACAGGTGCACGCCACGACACCCGGCTAATTTTTGTATTTTTAGTAGAGACAGGGTTTCACCATGTTGGCCAGTATGGTCTCAATCTCTTGACCTCATTAACCACCTGCCTTGGCCTCCCAAAGTGCTTGCATTACAGGTGTGAGCCACTGCACCCAGCCTCAACAGATATTTTTAATTGGATAAAATAATCTTAAAGAACATTTTTAAAAACAAACCTTAACCAAGTCAAGAAATGCAGATATATATATATATATATATATACACACACATATTTATATTTAGACATATATTTATATTTATTTTTATACATAATATATTCGTATTTATACATATAAAATCCTGTAGAAAATTATATTACAGGCCGGGCACAGTGGCTCACACCTGTAATCCCAGCACTTTGAGAGGCCGAGGTGGGTGGATCATGAGGTCAGGAGTTCGAGACTAGCCTGGCCAATATGATGAAACCCCATCTCTACTAAAAAATACAAAAATTAGCTGGGCATGGTGGTGCACACCTGTAGTCCCAGCTACTCAGGAGGCTGAGGCAGGAGAATCGCCTGAACCCGGGAGGTGGAGGTTGCAGTGAGCTGAGATTGCGCCACTGGACTGCAGCCTGGTGACAGAGTGAGACTCCGTCCCAAAAAAAAAAAAAAAAGAAAAGAAAAGAAAGTTATATTACACAGAATATAGAAAAGTTTGTTTAACTATTGTATAGAAACAGATAACATAAATGAAATTAACACTTAAAATATAGGGCAAACCTAAATGATAAATATGAAATAGTTAATGAATATGAAATGAAATGATGTATATGAAAAATATACATAAAATGATGCTCCTGCTCACTGGTAGTAGGGTAGGTACAAAATAAAGTAACAATGAGATAATACTTTAAATGTTTCAGATTGGCAAAGATTTAGAAGTGCCATATTACCAACAAGATGGCAACAAATATTTTTGTACATATAATGGGGTAATTACTGCTTTTATTTCTAGGGAACAGATACCCAGAACAAGATTGTTGGGTCAAAGGAATTGCAGTAGTGGTAGCAATAGTAGCAGTATTAATCATAACAGTAACAATTACTATGATTAGTACCATAATGATAGTAGCAATCCACCTCCTGGTAATCTGCTAGAACATCATCATCATTGTAGTAGTTATAGTAATAACTGCAATACTGCTATTGCAGAGATAGCACTTATTATGTGCCACTGTTCTCAGCGCTGTATATATGTTAACTCTAATCCTCCTCACAACTCTAAAAGATAGGGAACTATGATTCCTATTTTACAGGCTAGGAAACAGACACTAAATGTGCCTGGCAAACATAGTAAGAAGCGTTAGCTATTTTGTATGTTAGTTAGATAGGTTGGCTACTTTTGTTTTTGTTGTTGTTATCACATACTTTTTTACATAGCAATTCCACTCCTATGACTCTAACCCAAATGAGAAACTAATTTAACAGCAAAAAAATCAAGAATTTACATGTATAGCATTGTGTATCTGTTGTGGACAGGTATGAGTAAATCTATCTTTGTATGAAACAAAATAAAGAAAAACGTATACAAGATGCTTAACCTGGATTATTTTGTTGAAGCGTAGGTGATATTGGGAGAAGAGGAGGGCTGGAGAAATAGGGAAGCAATCTAAATAAGTCAATAAACCAGAACACACTCACACACACACACCACACACAAACATAGAAAGTTAGAAGGTTTAAGTACAGGGTAACAACAAAGAAATAACGTTTACATTCTCTGGGGACACAAAGAGCCCTGGAAGAGTTTCAGGAATAGGTGCTTTTATGCAAATTTCATTTCCAAGAGGAGTGATATTTTTGTTGAATGATTTGGTTCTTTTTTCCCACACAATGTAAAGTATTAACAAATTTTTCAAAGCTTTATTCTTTATTAAACAACAACAACAACAATCTTAGTAATTCTAAGGTTCAAAACTCAGTAAGGGTCAAGTGAAAGACACTGTCTAGGGGCAAGAAAGCTGAATTCTGTTCCTGGCACTGCCACCATTGGACTATCTGATCTTTGGCAAGTCACTTAATCTGCACTTAATTTCCTCACTCACAAAGGAAGGACGTTCAACCAGGCCATCTTTAAAGCTCCTTTTAGAAGTGGAATGTGATGATTCTATAATTAAAAAGCACAATGTAGAAAAGTGAAAAACTAGTAAACAGGAGTGATAATTATCATACATCTTAAAGAAATGGAGTTTAAACTCTTAATAACTTTTAATGATCCAGGTAATTTAATGATTCACTTAAAAATCAAGCTTTTAAGAAGTATAAACTACAATAAGATCAACTTGTGATTTTACATTTCCAAATGGTGAATTTAACTACCCAATGCTTTAATTTTGAGAAATTAATGCTTTAATGTTGAGAAAAGGAATGCTGCCATTTTAGATATTTTCAGATTACTCACTGAAGTAAGACTTAATTTATCCTTTAAAATGGGGCCATCTATAAGGTGCAGTTCAACCTAAATGTCATCTTCTAGAGACCACATGTAATAGCCCTATGAAAAAAAGGCTGGGCAATGCCAGCCAGTCAGCACGCCAGCCAGTCAGCCACATAAATAAATTGCACAATAAAATTTGTAACAGAAAATTTTGAATAAAATTATTAATAGAACACAAAAAAATGGAAAGAACAATTTGCTTAAGAATGGCAGCCTCCTGAAGCAACATTTACTGTTTAAATTGTTACATTTTCCTAAGTTTTATAAGTAATAATACGATTATTAATCATACTTTATTAAGATTTAAAGCATAAAAAGTCATTAACTCATAGGGCATAAAGATTTCCATGAGCTTGTTACATTTTATGTATTTTATTTCCTTAAATGGTTATGGGATTTTCCAAAAGCATACACACAATTCCTTAAACTTTGCCAACTTAGAATTAGTTACATAAAAATCACCCTTCAGACCGTATGGAATCCCCTAGACAAATCTACTCAGCCTTTCTGTGATAGGTTATCTGGGTGTGAATTCCACCACCACCTCCCCCTCGTCCCCGCCCACAAAAAATATATTAAGACTTGGCCCAACTAGATTTTACAGGCGACAGAGATGTAAAGAAACAATTTATGGCTTGCACAATTATCTAAAATTCCCGCAAACAAGCAGTTCCCTAAGTAGTATGTCATAATTTTCTTATCTATGAGTAGAAGCACGTGCATTTATTTATATCCCTAGATTAACTTCAAGTCTAATTTTACTGCCAGTAGTATCCAGGGGTGGATTTCTTTGTTCTAATTACAAATGGAACTTGAGCTAGATCAAAGGCATTTTAAGAAGGTCAAATTTTACTTCTCTGAAAAATAAAGGGTGTTATCCCATGTAATTAATTAATGCTTAGCCATGCCCTTTGGCGCATTATCCGGTGGCTGCAGAAAACCAGAGCCAGCCGTTCCCACCTGTTGGTGCAGTGAAACTTACTTACCCAAAAGAGCAGATTGAGGGCGTAGAGCAGGCAGCGCAGACACTTCACGGAATCTTCTCTGGCCATTGTGAGCCCCGTAAGGGAGAAGCCCCATCCTTTCACCACATCCTACTCCCAAGGGCAAAACGGCAGCGATCTGCAGGGGGCGGGGGAGAGAGAACACGGGACATCTCACCATCACGCTTCCCACAGCCTGCCCGTCCCTCCTCCACCCGCCCTCAGCAGGGTCCAGAGGGTCCCGAGGCCCAGTGCATTCGAGACATCGCCTCATCAAAAATCATTTGTTAAAATCATAATGGTAACTAAACTCCCAAAAGTTCCAAACCGGCTTCAGATAACACCTGCTGGGAAAAGAAAAGAGCAACTATCCGGATGAATGAAGTCGCACAGTAAACTCGCGTTCTCAGGGGACACGCGGCGGAGCCCTGTGCATTCTGATGAGACGCTCTTGAAAACCTCCCTCACTCCACGCCCCTCCTCGAGGACAGCTGTGCTCGGCACTGTCCTGAAGGTGAGAAACCACACTGCCCCCTACCCCGGACACGTCAGAGGCGCCACCGGCAAGCCCGAGAGAATGAGCGCCCTTCTAGTTAGGACAGTTCCTGGGCACTCCAACTCCGCACCCCTCTACCCCGTCCCGCAGCTCGGGTGTGAATGCAAGGGACTGGGGCGGCGGGGCGGGGGCGGGGGCGGGGGCGAGGGGGCAGCGCGGAGTTGAGATTCCGCCCGGCTACTAGGGTTTCTCTGGGAGAACGTGAGAAATGATGTTTTCGGCCCCAGAATGATGGATTAGCCTGGGACAGTGGGCGGGGGGCGGGGGGCGCCGGGGAATTAGGGCCGATGCAGCTGTGCAGACGCCGGGTTAGTCATTCAAACCCCGCTTCCCCCGCCCGGGACGCTCCCGCGACCCCTCGCTCAAAGCCGCCCGCGGAGCACAAAGCGAGCGCGGCCACCGACCCAGCCATCGCGTCCGCGCGCCCCCGGCAGGGCGCGAGGGGAAGCGCCGGCGGCAGGGAGCCCCAGAGCCAGCCCTTAAGTAGTTTAGCACACAGCGCGGAGGGCAGCCGCCGGCGGGCTGGCGGGACAGCGGGCAGGAAAGGCGACAGACGCGTGGCCACTTACCGTCGGCGCTGGGCCCGGTGCCCCACGCCCGCCTGGGGATAGTCGGGGACGCACGGCGGGGGCTCATCGGGGCAGGGAACTTCTTCGCGGAGAGCCGGAGGGCTGCATTGGCTTCAGCTGGAGACGCTTCTTTCTCTTCCTCTCCCCCCGCCGCCGCCGTCGCCGCCTCCTGGGAAAAAGAAAAAAAAAAAAAAAAGTCCTGGGCAGCAGTTGCTGGAAAGTCTCTGCTAAGCCACCTCCCAGCGCCGCTGTCCCTCCCAAGTCCTCTCCGAGTCCGGACGAGGCAGCGGCGGCAGCCAGGGCCAGCTGCACAAACTCTCAGCGCATGCTCGAGCCGCTGGCTGCCGGGGTTGGGTCCTAGTGGGTGTTTCTTGTCCCTCTCACCCAGCGAGAGTCCCCAAAGGGACGCTTCACCTCTGCAGGATAGGGTCCAGAAGATAATGCCT
Source organism: Homo sapiens (assembly GCF_000001405.40). NCBI lineage: Eukaryota > Metazoa > Chordata > Mammalia > Primates > Hominidae > Homo > Homo sapiens. The sequence continues at coordinate 120,858,266 of NC_000007.14, forward strand.
AGGAACTTGGGAGAAGTCCGTGCAGTAAATCCCTTTAAAATGGTGGCGTCGAAGGAATGGAGGCTGGGTTATAAGCATAGAGAAGCAGGCTTTTATTATATGATAATATTTGTGTTTGAGAAGGGGGGTGAAGGGGTGGCCCAACCCAATTCCTGCAATGAGAAACTAGTTTTCACAACCTTTATGGAGCCACCTCCTGTGATTTGTTATTAACATGGTGCCCTATGATCCTTCTTATTGCTTTGTTGCCCTCCCGGATTTTTTTTTTTTTAAGTTCTTTCCCACTTTCATAGTGCACTAATAGCATTTACGGAAACATCAGAGTAATCATGTGCAGTCTGACATGCAGAAGAGGAGGAAAGAACATTTTTAACTCTTAGAAGTAACTCAAGCTTTCCAAAATTTCTCACGATAAGATTGTTTTGAGTTAACTGGGTGATTTATTTTGAAATGTGTACATAGTAGTGGATCTTTGGAAAATCTAATTTTTTTAAACTAGAAATTCATGAAGTATTACACAGCAGGAGACCATCCTTCCAAAAGAATCTTCCCTTTTAGAAGACAGAAGTTTCACACTAAATAAAATGCCACTGGATCATATCCTCCACATAAAATGTGGATGTGTTGTGCTATGCCTCACAGTACTGCTCATTTCTAGGATTACTTTTGTGGGCACTGCATGGCAAATAAAACTTCACCAGCAAATATGAATTACCTGGAATACGAGCAACATCTTTGACCTAATAACTGGAGTCCTTGGATTTCCTTGCAGAAAAAAAAAAAAAAAAAAAAATGGAATCCTATGTCCATGACTGCCTGTCTAGAGTTAGTTGCTGCATGACTGGAGTGACAATAAGACATGCAGTCTCATATGGAAAAGTCAAGACCAAAAGACAACATGGTTGTCCTGGGTTAGGCTAGGAAAATTATTGGTAAGCAAGTCACTAAGCAGTATGTAAGACAGCAACCCAAAAGAGTATAAAGAAGTATAGCCATACACAAAAAAAACACCAAGAAACATGTCCAGTTATCCATCAGATGACTCCAACTCTGATAATGAAGCAGCTTCTAGAATACTGGGGAAGAGCAAAGAAACCCACTTTTATCCTCTGCCAGTTTCTTCTCAAATTAGGGTGCATGCCTATTTTAAGCAAAGGACTGCTGAAACAACCAGCCATCCAAATGCTGTTGGTGCCATACATTCCCCGGAGAGGTATAAACATCCCCGCATTGAAAGGAGTCCATGACTGCTATTAAAACTGAGAAAAAGAGTGCCAACAATTCCCATGTGTCAAAGCAGAGATCCTCTTCTACTCCTAGAAGGTAGTTAAGTGCCCTTTCCTTAATTCGTATACCTTTAAGGGTCAACTGCCTTAAAGTAATAAAATACTAGAGGAAGTTACTTTAGAAGTATGCATGTCCTCTTCTTCCTGGTAAACAAGAAATACAGATCCAAGATAAAGTAGTTGCTCAACGTCACATCTGTAGTCCAACCTAGATTCCAAAGTAAAATCCAGAATAATGGCTCTTAGTACTCTAGTTTAATGGTTCTCGAAATTGTTGTACACGAGAATCACTTGGAGAGCTTTGAAACAACCCTAATTCTCTGGCATGCCTGATACCACTTAAATCGGAGTCTCTGCAGGTGAGGCCTAGACACACAGGGTTTTCCAAGCTCCCAAGGTAATTCTAGTTTGCAGCAAAATTTGAAAACCCTGCAACGAGGGCTTTACAGCTGCCTAAAAACTAGCAAAAGGGTCTCTTTAGATTTCGTTGGATCAAATCCCTCTCCTGTGAGTCGATAAATTGGGATTATTATCCCCATTTTACAAGTTAAGAAGAAAACAGAGCTGTAGTTACTGCTCTAATATTCCTGATAAATGGTCATCAGAGACAGTGAATCAACATTTCAGTAGAGGAGACCTCACCACATTTGAGACATTGCAGTAATGGGCAGTTTTTATTGCTTAAACTTGACCATACCACCTTTTAACTTCTACCCTTCAACCTTAGTTCCGCCCTTGGAGTCCATGGCATGAGCAAGCCTTCCTCCCATATGACAGCCCTTCAACTACTTGAAGGCAGCTGTTCTTCCCTCCCTCTCCAATTCTTCTCTTTCCCAGAATTGTGGAAGCACAGTAAGACTTCACATCGCAGCTGTCATTCTGAGGGTTCTATATTTTTCTCTGTGAGATCTGTTTTTTTGTGTGTGTGAACAAAAGGAGGATAGAAATATCATAATATGCACATAAAAATTTGAATATGTAATAACATATTAGGAAAATTGTATGGTCTATTTACTACCCATTAGTCAGGAACCCAATTCTGTGGCCAGGTGTTCTCCAATAAGTATCATTTCAGTGGTGGTATCTACTGTGCCTCATGCTGAAGATACTAAGACAAGTTCTTACCCTCCAAGAAAAGGCAAAACTATCCTTTCTTATTATATAATAATAATAACAATAATAATGACATCAAAAAGTAATAAAATAAGCATTTACAAGGAATCACATACATGTCAGTCCCAGTGTCAGGAGTAAAACTCAGCTATATGTAAGAGAATACAAGTTCCTCACTCCGTATGGCAGCTTGTTTGTTCATATCTTATTCTATTCATTCTGCTAAAGTTGTGGAGAGAAAAAGGATAACACAGGAGTTTGGATGTATGAGTTGCTATTCCTTCTTAGTACAAGACCCTCACAAGTACTCCTAAGCCAGTACTTTACAATTAATATGGGATAGACACCTAATGTGTTTTGAACAAATTACATGTGTCTGACATAATAGGTGCTTCTCACAATTTATCTTATTAATTCCTCATAACTATATGTTGAGATACTTGAAATCAATTCAGATAGCTGATTTTTGCCAGACCCACACAGGTAGTAAATAAAGAAGCTGAGATTCTAAGATCTGTCTGATTCTTTCCACTGTTTATCTGCATTACAATAAAATTTCAAATCTGGTTGGACAAGACTTAAGAGGAAAATTTTCGAACTTTTTAAAGTTAGTTTTCGAGAATATGAAGCTGAAATTCAAATATGTGTACTTAAACTATGACTGGTAAATCTACTTTCACCTCACTTCTAAAAGAGTATACAGACCTAATAAGACCTGAGAAAATCCTTTCATTACTGAATTAAGTAGACTGCTTTCTACTGTAAGCTTAGGATTGCCAGATAAAATACAAGACACCTCATTAGATTTAAATTTCAGATAAACAACAATTTTTTATTTTTTGGTATAGGCATGTCCCAAATGTTGCATGGGACAAATATTGCACTGGACATACATATACTAAAAAATTATTCAATGTCTACCTGAAATTCAAATTGAATTGCAAACCCTACATTTGTATTAGTTGAATCTGGCCTCCCTATGCAAACTAGCAAATGCACTCAAAGAGCCACAAAAACAAATATGTTTCACATAACAATGAGTCCAGGAATAGCGATTCATCTGCCCAGTAGTGATATCAAGGAATCAGTTCTTTTTCCTCCTTACTCTCCTGACACACACAATGAGTAATCATACTATACTCAGGTACCTCCTCTTATGGTCACAAGATGGCTGTGCAAATTCAAGCATCATTTTCAGTTACCATTACTTCCAAAGGAAGAAGGTATTTTCTCCTATGAGTTTCTCTTAGGATCTAGCAAACCTCTCCCAGGAGTTCTGCAGCAGATTATCCCTTTGATTGATTGGCTAGAACCTGGTCACATACTCATATATCTACCAATTATTCACAAGAACTATGGTTCTACCATAACTGGTTTGTTTTGTTTTGTTTTGTTTTGTTTTGTTTTGTTTTGTTTGAGACAGAGTCTCACTCTGTCACCCAGGCTTGAGTGTAGTGGCTCCATCTCTGCTCACTTAACCTCTGCCTCCCGAGTTCAAGTGATTCTCATGCCTTAGCCTCTCGAGAAGCTGGGACTACAGGTATGCACCACCACGTCGTGCTAATTTTGTCTTTGTAGAGACAGAGTTTCACCATGTTGCCCAGGCTGGTCTCAAACTCCTGTCCTAAGGTGATCCACCCACCTCAGCCTCCCAAAGTGCTAGGATTACAGGTGTGAGCCACCATGACTGGCCAGGTTTTAAACCAATCAAGATGTATTACCTGTGCCTGGGACAGCCCTTCTCTAAAGCACAGGGCCAAAGAGAGGAAGGTAGATAACTGAACACAGTCAGATTTTTATTTGAACTGAGGGATAGAGAAAGGAAGGCATAGTACCATCCTCTCTCCTGTTCACTGCTAGGACAACCCAGCTCTCAGCCAACCATTTTGGGGCACTACTTAGCAAAGTTTCTTAGTTATTGAAAGAACCACTGAAGCAGGAACCTCATGGCAATAGCAAAGGACCCTGAGAAAACTCGTATCACATCATTTCCATCCCATGCCATAAGCTTACTTTCAGCATCGTCATTTGCATTTACACACCAGGTAATTCTTTAAAGAAGTGCCCAAATCAGTACCCTCCTATGAAATCCTAGAAAACTTTTCTCTTAAACTTTATTGAAACCTGACCTTCATGCAAAGTTTAGAAATTTGGACTCACTTCACCCACAGATTTAATAAATATTTATTGAATTGTTACTACAAACTCAGAACTGTGCTAGGAGATACCAAGAGTTCTACCATAATTTTGGCTCTCAAAAATTTATAACTTCATTAGCATGCTTCCTCTTCAGAAAGCAAAATTTATAGAATATAAGAGATCTTTTGTCCAGACTTGGTGGCTCATGTCTGAAACCCCAGCTCTTTGGGAGGCTGGGCCAGGAGTTGGAGACCAGCCTGGGAAACATAGCAAATCCCATCTCTACAAAACATAAAAACAATTATCCAGATGCTGTGTGCCCACCTGTAGTCCCAGCTACTCAAGAGTCTGAGATGGGAGGAGCTCTTCAGCCCAGCAAGTCGAGGCTGCAGTGAGTCATTATTGCATTGCTGCACTCCAGCCTTAGCAACAGAGCAAGACCCTCTCTCTCTCTCTCTCTCTCTCAAACAGCAACAACAACAACAATAACAAAGAACTCTTCTCTTAATTTTCAGTTATTTGAAACAAAATGTAAGGAAAAGGAAGGAATACACGTCTATTTACAAACAGCTGCCAATTTCTACTTTTCTCAGAAAGATCCCTCAGGAATTATACTGTTATTCCACTACATCAGCTTTTTGTCACACCCACAATACAACTGGGGAAAGATAATCAAATAGTTACCAAGAATATTAGATATTTGTCTTCGCCTGCTGCTCTTTTCATTTTCTTGGTGTGTTTTAAAACTTCCAGCTTACTCCAATGCTGTACTAAATAAAACACTTGTTTGTGACACTAGATAAAATCTTTTGTTTTTAAAATTATTTCTAGCTGGCTAATCCGAACTCACAAGTGTCCTCATCCTACCACGTGTAAAACAACCATTTGATTATTATTTGTGTGTATGTATACTAGCAATAACCATGTATGGAAAACTGGAGATGTTGTAAATTCTCATTTCAAATTTCATGGTTTGAATGTAGAAATGATTGACTGATGAAAAAGAAAAAAAGTTAGTGTCCTTGGTTTCTTCTAGAAGAATGCATTTCTTCTCAATGCATTTGTTTTCGCTGCAAAGAATTATTATTTCTAGCAATTGCCGTTATGTTCTATTATCTTTGTATGGTTAGTTTTCTTTTGTAGAAAGCAATGTTAACTGATTGATTACTACTCACAGCAATAAAGGAAGATATATCATGTCAGCAACATAAGACACCCATAAATAACTCATACAGTTAGTTTATTGACTATACATATTTCTATAATTTTCATCTATTTCTTGGCTTTATCAGCAATATTATTCCCTATAACTGACTAGAGAAAATACTTGGGATATAGTATGTTTGATTTAAGAAACATACATATTTTTCCAAAATGACTGCTAGAAATTAAATTATACATTTTGTTGTGAGTTTTATATTGGTGGTGTTTTACGAGTCACTGGTTCATAGAGAAGAATCTTACCAATTCTGCCGAAATGGAGATGAGCTGGTTCTCACTTTGGCTTAAAAAATGGCAGCAGCCAGCTTGGGCTGCAAGGCTGACCATATGTTGACTTAATTAACTAGGTCTCAACAGCTCTTCCTCGGGTGAGACATAAAAACTGAGAATATAGCTACCAAAATCATGTTGCTCAAGTGGGCTCTCTTTCTTGATCTTTTCTTCCTTTTATTGTCACTAGCTTGCACATATGCAAATGACATCATAAATCATTTCCCCTTTTTCCTTTTCTCCACAACTTTCCTTCTATTCAGACCAGTGTTCCCAACTATCCCATGAATTTATCACATTTGCTAGACATCCAAGTTTTTACAAACGTGCCTTATTCAGTTATGGGAACAGGCATGGATGGCCAGAACCTAAAAACTAGACCAATCAATTAGGGTGTGACTGGAATTTGAGTGAAGACCCATCAAAAGGCAATGTAAATTCAGGCAGTCAAGCAGAACCAAGTATGAAGGGAATGTGTTGGCAAGCACTAGGTGGAAATTATGGCAGGAAGACAGATGGCAATATCACAGAATCCCAGCAAATGGTAAGAAAACTCAGTGGCACAGGAATCGGTCAGCAAAAAACATGAAAAGTGTCACGCAAGTAAGGAAAGACCCCAGTCCATGTCAAGACAAATTAGCCAGTCTCTGCCAACACTCGGTGAAGTTGATCCAGGGAGATGAACTTAGGTCCCTAGAAAAGCAAGATTCAAAAGCAAAAAACACCATCCCAGAGAAACTTCTCTAGACCCTACTTTTAAAAGTGGTAATGTTAAGATTTTAAAAGTTAGAGGTTTCCAGATTAAGGAAGATCTTAAAGGCTGTCCTGAGGAGTTTGCAGTTTATTCAGAGGCAATGACAATCCTGAAACATGTTGATATGAGCAGAAAAATGACATAAACAAACAACAGCAGGAGTTTGAAGTCAGACCTGGATTTAAATGCTGGCTTTACCAAATGTTAGTAATGGGATTATGAGCAAATGATCTCATGTCCACAAGCCTCAGTTTCCTTATCTGTATACCTACCACCGAAAGTGGTCATGAGTAATATGTAATTATGAGCCTAAATTTAGCTGGGGTCACACTGCCCTTTAAGGTTTAAATAGAATAGGCCAGCCTCTTTCCCACAAGGAGTGGGTGAAAATGTTTTCCCCTTGCAATCCCTCTGGGGATTCTAGAGATGGGGAGAGAAGGAGGAAACACTTTTTCTCCAGTTCTGAATCCATTTATGGATCATCTTTCCAACTCATACATGCTGTTCTTTTCTCTAAAGGGTGAACAGTCTTCAAGAAAAGATTTCTTCCCTGTCCAAAAGTCTATGTTCATAGCTGCCTTTGAGTGAAGTCACAAAGAATCTGAAAGTATTGCTGTAGCAGCACTGTATACAACTCAAAACCAAATATCAGAAATTCTCTAGTCCTACTTATTTCTTCCTTGTAGTCTTTCCCTGCAGTTCCCATGTTGAGTGGCTGCCTCTTCTCTGATCTCACTCATTGTTTACACCCCAATTCTAAATTCCTGGTAACTTCTCAGGCAGACAACATAGCTATCTTTTTTGTTTTACTGTCTTCTTTCAGTCTAGGCCTCAGAGATCTCATCTTTCACATACTTCTCTCCCTGCAAGAAATTCTGGTGCTTTTTACTTAAAACAACAACAAAAGAAAGAAAGAAAGAAAAAAGCCACTGTTACAGTGCTTACTATATGCCAGAAAGTATTCTAAGAGCTATACATATATTAATAATTTAATCCTCAAAAAAGCCCATATTGTATATGAGAAAAACAAAACAGATCATGCAGTTAGTAAAGGTCAAGCCAAAATTCAGTGCGGGGTGTTGTGGCTCCAGAGTCTTGTGATAGCTGATAGCACCAAACAAGTGCCTAGAAATAAATGGTTGTGCAATTATTAGGAAGATTATTCTGATAACCATATGTAGGGTAAACTTGAGACAGGGATAACAGTAGTGAGACAATTATTTGGCAGTATTTAACAAAGAAGATTCTGTGGAGCACTAAACTTTTGAGCATTCTATAGGCAAATGCATTTAGGAAATGCTAACTATTATATTTGCCCCTTAGAACTTTTGCAAACTCTAGCGTAGTAGAGATTCTGAGAACTCCTATAAGAAAGGAATTTCTTTCACTTCGTATAACCCAGCACTTCCTAAATACATTCGATCAAGTAATCTCTGTGTATCTCTGTGTGTATTTGTGCCTGTGTGTGTGAGAGAGAGACAGAAAAAAAGACAGAGAGAGTTCTTATTAATAGTGAATAGACCTAATACTCAATTGCACATATTTTGAGAAATATCAATTTCTACAAAGAAATACAGAGCTATTTCAAAGGACCTAGCAGCTAAATAGATGTGAGGCACAAAGATATAGAAATACAGGGGAAATATAAGTGATATATAGTTTGAATGTATGTTTCTGTTAAGTCTCATGTTGAACCGTAATCCCCAGTGTTGGAGGTAGGCTCTGGTAGGATGTGTTTGGATCATGGGGATGGATCCCTCAAGAATGGCTTGGGCCATCCCCTTGGTGATAAGGGAGCTCTTGCTCTGAGTTCACACAAGATCTGGTCATTTTAAAGTATGTGGTGCCACCCCACCTCCTTGCTCCTGCTTTCACCGTGTGAGATGCCTACTACTCCTTCGGCTTCTGTCATGATTGTAAGCTTCCTGAGGCCGCTCCAGAAACAGATGCTGGTGTTTTGCTTCCTGTATAGCCTGCAGAACTGAGAGCAAATTAAACCTCTTTTCTTACAAATTATGCAGTCTCAGATATTTATTTTTAGCAAGGCAAGAACGGCTTAATACAATAAGGAACTTAAATTTGTCCAAAAGCATTAAAGTACCTCCTCATGTCTACCGTGCCCTACCCCAAGGTCCAGTTCATTCACTTGGAGGATCCAATGATCACTCTCAAAGCCTGTATAATATACATCTATTTTAAGCCACTGTCCTCACTTCCACACTCCATTACAAACTTGAAGAAAACAGACACTCCACAACACCGAAGCACTTTTGCAACCAGTTCTTCATGCTTGAATATTTTTCAAATCCTTGTTTCCCTGCCTCTATCATTGTTATTTGCTTCTTTTTCACCTTCATTTGATCTTTGGATTTGACACTAGGCCATTGCCTTAACAACAAGCTTTATTCCTGTCTTTAGTCACAGTATTTATTGACTCCCCCAAGCCATCATAAGTGACCATCTTTCCTAGTCTGGGCCAGCCCCAGAACTGAACCCTCCAAGCCCAGCAGTTCCGAGCACTAGTAGTGGTGTCCTTCCAGACTGACCCTAGAAGCTCATGTGACACAGTCATAGAGCAAAACTGCATACTCAGGAAATTATACTATATTTTTAAGAGTATAATAGGTTATAGAAAGAGATTTAACTGAGAGAGAAATATACATAGCAAACACTACATCTACTTTGGCAAGGCTAAAGATCTCATAAGAAGCTCATAAGAAGCCTTGTCATCACTGGGCTTAAAAGTAGTTTCACAAATGTCAGAAGGTGTAAAGACAAGATTTGGGAGGGCAGGAGAATTCCTGAGACTGTCTGTGCTTAAACTGCTGCATTTCCCCAACATATTTCTTCTTTAAAAAGCAACCTCCTTTGATAAATATCCAGTGGCTTAGATACCTACCACAAACTAGAAGTAATTAAAAAACAAAACAAAGCATACTTTTTTTTCTTCTCAGTACCATATTCTCTTACGTCATGCCAGTGACATCTTATCACCTTTCTCTTCCTCTTTCAGACTCATCCAGTCCCTGAGTGTGGTACAGGGTGAATACTGGGTCCTAGTCACCCTTGCCCAGTCACCTTTGCCCCAGTCACCCTTGCCCAGTGCATGAGATTGACCAAAGGATTCATGCTAAGAGAGGCAAGCCAAGAGGACCTCAGGCTATTGCCTCCCTGACTCATCTCAGCTCCTAGAGTATGAGTATCATTAAGAGAAGTTTACCACTGTCCTCATCCCCATCTCCAGAGCTCTGTCTCAGAGATTTTGCCTGGGGGTAGAAGTAAGACATAAAACAGATAGCTTCTAATCTCTTTCCAGAGGAACTGATTTTATTTGCAACAAAGCATGGACAAGTATAGGAAAACAGCCAGTTGCATGGAAAGAGTGACACCATCTTGAATTAAACAACCATGATGACAGATATTTGACTCCTGTATACCAACGTATTCTACAGCAAAATGTTTAAACGATGTTTGTAGCATAGATAGCCCCTCACAGAGATGCTTTCTAATTTCCCCAGTGGTCACAAGTTTCAGCAAGAAAGTCTGAAGTGTGACCCCTGCACATGCCTTTTCCCTAAAAGCTTGCTATATACAGGATACTTTCTAGGCAGGGCGCGGTGGCTCACTCCTGTAATCCCAGCACTTGGGGAGGCCGAGGCCGGAGGATCATTTTGAGGTTGGGAGTTCGAGAACAGCCTGGTCAACATGGTGAAACCCCGTCTCTACTAAAAATACAAAAATTAGCCAGGCGTGATGGCGGGTGCCTGTAATCCCAGCTACTCAGGAGGCTGAGGCAGGAGAATCGCTTGAACCCAGGAGGTGGAGGTTGCAGTGAGCCGAGATCATGCCACTGTACTCCAGCTTGGGTGACAGAGTGAAACTCCATGTCAAAAAACAAAAAACAAAAAACAAAAAAAGAAAACAACTTTGTAGAGGGCTGGACACAGGATCAATCTTCTTGAAGCTGCCCGAGACATTTCTTTGGTTCATAAGTCCCTATTAAATATTTCTTGCTGAGAAACTGGATTTGTCAGCCTTTCTTCAGCTTTCCAACTTCCTTGGCCTTTCTGGGTAGGTTTGCATATACCTGCTTACCAGGAAACAGGAAGTTAGAGCCTAAGGCTGCTCTCAAAAACAGTGATGGTTGTGATAAAAGGCACTCCTAAATCTAATGAAGGTACAGCCTAAACCATATGGTCTAGGCTGTACCTTCATTAGATCCATGAATGAAGACAGAATCGGGGTTTTAGACAGCTGGGCAGAGTCATTCTGCAGTCAGAACAAATATCAAACACTGACCTCAGAAACTATTCCTTTGAAGAAGCTACATTTTGATTGGATTAATTTGTAGAGGAATATATGTCAGAGGCATTGTTGAAAATGATACAACAATCAGCAGGAAACTTTCATTTATTTTTTATTTATTCACAGGCACAATCATAGTGCACTTCATAGGCCTTGAAATCCTGGCCTCCTTAGTAGCTGAAACTACAGGTGCATGCCACAGCACCAAGTTAGTTAGTAGAGTTTAACAGCTGACTGTAGTCAGGAAAAGAATAGAAGAGCCTCCTATTAGGACCATTGTCATCCCAGGGTGACTGTGAAAAAAAAACAGTGCTGTGCTTCCCTACAGAGCAACCTCAGAGGCTTCACAGTATAGGAGAAAATAGATTTCACAAAAATAATATGGCCAGTTACTAAAAAAAAAAAAAAAAATAAACAAATAATAATTAGCCCCAAAGGGGAAAAGAGGACCAATATCTAGAGTTGCTAAAAATATATTATCTAAAATGTGCAGTTTCCAATAAAAAATTTCGAGGCCTGACAAAAAATAAGAAAGTATGACTCATAAAAGACCTAAAACAGACAACAGAAACTGCCTGTGACAGTGACCTGCTGTTAGATCGAACAGAAAAACATTTCAAAGTAGCCCTCATCAATATGTTCACAGGTCAAAAGAAAGCATGAGTAAAGAAGTCAAGGAATGTGTGATGGCAATGTCATATCAAATAGAAAATCTCTATACAGAGATTTAAACATTGCAAAACAGAACAAAATTCTGGAATAAAAAAGTACAAGAAGTTAAATTGAAAAATTCACTGGACAGACTCAACAGCAGATTTGAATTGGCAAAAGAATTAGCAAACTTTAAGGTAGATCAGTTGAGATTATATAGCTGAAGAACAGAGGGGAGAAAAGAATGAAGAAAAACTAACAGCACCTCAGAAAAATATTGGAACACCATTAAGTGCACTATCATACACATAACGAAAGTGCCAGGAGGACAGGAGAGAGAGAAAGATGAAAAAATATTAGAAATCATGATGACTGCAAACTTCCCATATTTATTAGAAAATAATAAAATACATGTCCAGAATGTCCTAGTGCATTTCCAGAAAGCACATAGGATAAGTGCAAAGATACTCACAAACAGACACAGCATAGAAAAATCCTAAATGTCTAAACATGAAGGAAATCTTGAAAGTCAAAAGAGGAAAATGGCATGTTCTTTACAAGGAAACCCCAATAGGCTTAACAACTGACTTCTCTGAAGAAACAAGAGAGGCCAGAAGACAGTGGGATAATATATTCAAAGGGCTCAAAGTAAAAAATAGTGAACCAAAAATTATATATCCAGTAATGCTATCTTTCAAAAATGAAGGCAAAGTAGAGTTTCCCAGACAAACAAAAAATTGAAAGAATTTGTTGCTAGCAGGCCCTCCTTATAAGAAATACAAAAGGAATTCTTCAGGCTGAAGATGATAACAGAAAGTAATTCAAATTCACACAAAGAGCACCAATAAACGTAATATTGCGTGACTCTAAATGATAATTTCAATACATATTTTTCTCTTTTCTTCTCTCAGTTGATTTAAAAGCAACTGCATAAAATTATATCTATATACTAAGAGAGAGCAAGAGAGAAAATTGTTAGGCTTATAACGTATAAAAGCATAATACATGTAAAATATATTTGCCAATAACAGTACAAAAGAAGTGAATGGGAGCAAAGTTGTAATGGTCTAAGAAATGACTACAGAGGATGAAGTAATAACTAGAAAGAAAAAGAGAGAGAAAGAAAAGAAGGAAGAGGGAAGGAAGGGAGGGAGGGAGGGAAAGGGAAATGGAAGAGATGGGAAGGGAAGGGAAGAAATAAAGGAAAAACATTGCCCATGCCTGCTTCATCTAAGTTAATAATGCCAGCCCTTATCTTTCTTAGCAGACACTTGCTAAGTTCCTGATGCCCCTCTTCTGCATGCTGAACCCCTGAAACAATCCTGATGCTGTGGACAGTATAACGGGAAGGACAAGCCCACTTGCTGCCAGGCCTTCCTAGAATCTCTTTGTCTCCCAGTTATGGCTTGCCTGCCCTATTTGCCCTACACTATCGGCCAAACACTAATTATGGGTTCCTGCCTCTACTTTCCCTGCCTAACACTGCAGTTTAGAATCCTATTTGGAATCAAAAATCTTTCCCAAATTCCATCTGCTTGGCTAAGCCTCATTACTATTCTTAATATTTCCCTCTAGAGGGTAGACCTTGCTCCCTATAATTTAGTTGTCTTCTTACTTTGCAGGAACCTGTTGAGAAGGGAGCTTTAAACCGCTATAGTGTTACCACTTGCTTAGTGACAATTTTTGAATGTTGTCTACCATCTGCCCCCACAACTATGACCACCCTTCAACACACACACACACACACACACACACACACTCTCAGTGTTGAATTTCCTTAGATACTTTGGACACTAAAACCTGCAAGAAGCAAGCCAGGGTCTGCTTTGACCTTTCTGACATGTCCCTCAAGCCCTAGAGCTGGGGTATTTTCCCAGCCCCTGCCTACATGAACCTGTGGATATTAGCATGGTTTTGTGACTTTGTTTTTGTTTTGCCTAAATGTGCCTGAATTTTAACAGTGAATACATTAAACTGTTTTCTCAGTATTAATCTCAGAGCTGATGAACGTGAGTGGCTTATAAGCTTCTCTAGTAAGTAAATTTATAATATAATTTTTTGTATCCTCACTCTCAAGATTTTGCTGATTTATTATTTTTGCTGATCATAGGTGTGCTTGCTGCAAGCTACATAGCTCTCCCCTTCCCTATCCCCTGCTCTCTTTCTTGCCAAAAGCAAAGGAACAGATTTTATAATCTACCTTGGACAGAAAATCAGGAGAACCAAGATGATAGAATAGAACTCAAAGTCAGAAGAAATACACTCTAATGAGAGTCTTGAAAAATTAATGAGCTTTAGTGTAAGGATTCTGTGATGTCTGTTTTTGCATAAGGATTTAAAGTAAAAATATTGTGTGGGTGTGTGTTTAGTCATCTATGTTTTGTGTACTTAAGGTTCTAAGATAAGTGGCTTCTGGTCATTAAAGAATTATTGAGCTAACTTTTTGAAAAAAGACTGAGAAAATATTTCAAGAAAGTTTAACTTTTAGCAGATCATTTTATTTCCAAGTCTAATTTTGTATCTGAGCTACTTCAAGTCTATAGTCAGCGAAATGACCAGTAAACTGGGAAGAAAACTAAGGTTCTAATCGGGTTTTTCCTGAGCCAGGAAACCTAGAGTGTTTAATAGCTCTCCATCCACAGGGATAAAGAGCTTTTCATTTCAAACATTCTATTAACTTATTTAATTTTATTATTATAGTTTCAATTTTGAGAAATTAGATCACATATTTAAAATTCTATCCCTTCTAGGTGGGAAAGATAATTTTTTGTGTAATTTTACAGTATCATAGACATTTTTTCAGAGGTAAAATATCCATGACCTTACAGCCTTTTCTTAAATCTAAACACTAAGTGCTAATATGGGGAATGTCCTTTAATCTTATTGATAACAGTAGTTCAGTGTTATGAAAATGACAAAGTACATCTCAATTTTTAGGGGTCAAAGTTAGGTTTATAATATTAGTTTATATATGTTGTTTGGTCAAAAAATAATAATAAAATCAAACTCCTGTTTCTAAGAGAGCTTTGGAAATAGTCCGTGTGTTATAAAAATCAGATACTCAAGTTTCCTCTGGGTGTATCTAGATTAATAAGTGTTAGATTTGCTTTCTTTATTTTTATTTTTTTGGTTTTTCAAATTTGAAGACAGTTGTGATTAAAACATACAATTGTATTATGAATCCACATTCATACGTAGTCATATAATTATTTTGTACATTGAACCTTCATTGCAGGTGCTAATTGGTAGCTACTAATTTCCTTTGTTAACTTGGATTCAAGCCCATAAATCTCGATGCATTTAACCTATATTCTTTCATTTGCAGAATAAAAATAACAATATTTCATGACTTACATGACTTGATAGTCATCACAAAACAATGACTGTGTCAGTAAATCAATAATAACTCCATACAAGTATTGCAATTCTCAATTGAAAAGACTGAGTGAAAGGTGTGATTTTTCAAAAGACATGTTTTCTGCTAAAACTAACAGTAGTGTCAAATGTTTTAGAAATTTTTGTAATGCAGATAATGAAACTGCGATGAATTCAACTAGAAATACCAAACTCATTTCAAATAGCTGGCTCATTCTTAAGAGTCACATTCCTCACTTTGCACTTTGCATTCTCCACATGAATACTGCAAAAGAAACACTTAACACGCCCTGATGAATATAACAATTATAACACAAAAGAGATCATTAATGCATCGGAACAGAAGAGTATGGTCTGTTAGCGTCTAATTAGGCTTCTGCTGTAATTATCTTCCATTTGATAAATTTTCTTCAAGTAAAAATGATAAAACAAATCATGGGTATTCGCTTAGTTTAATTAGTTAGCAACACTAAGACAAATTTAGTTTAATCTGTACCCTTTTATGTACTTTTTTCTAAAGATCTTAACTATAGGAAAGCTGAATATTTTAATGGTTTAAGTCTTTCACAATACCCACATCATAAAATCTTTCCTACACACCCTTACCTCCTATCCCAAACAAATTCAAACACTGTGCATGGTTATATATATTGAAACATTATCAAGGAGAGAGGGGATTAAGGAAACATTGTGTGACTGGATTTAGAGAATAAATGGGGGGGGGGGGAGAAAGGAGAAGAAAAGGAGAAAGGAGGAAGAGAGGAGTGGGGAGAAGAACAGATACTGAGAAGGAAAGAAAGAGAAGAAAAGGAGAGTGGAGGAAAGGCGAAAGTAAGGGAGGAGAAGGGAGGAAAGGAGAGGAGATTTAAATAAAGAAAGGAGGCATGAGAAAAAGAAGAGTTAATGAGATGACTGGAAGGAAGAGAATCAGGAACACAAAGATTGTTTTGCATTCATATCACTCATTGGTGTCCAAGCCTGATTTTAAAAAATTATCTCTCTAGCTATCTTGCTACTTGACCTACTTACCTACCTACCTATCTGGCATTGGAAGTTGTTTTGTTAAATCATCTTCCTATCTCTGAGAAAAAAACATATGAGAGAGGACTAAATTCTGCCTGTAATTCTCCAAAAGAGAAAATTCTTCAAGTTCCCTAACAATTTTTTCTCTTCCTTCTGTAACCAAGAAAACTTTGGGCTATCCAGTTGGACTGATTCAGTCTTATATCCCAGGATCAGAAGTTCTTGCTGCCCCATGGAAAATGTGGCCTTTGATCCCCAAGAGGGTTGCACGAGGGAAGAAACAAACTTCACTTTGGTGCTGAAAAGCAACATATGTGTACGCTTGATTTGGGATGGTTGGGACATCTGCTCCATCTGGACATGCTGGAGAGAATGATAAATGAGATCAATTCAGGAAACAATGCATCGGTATTAGTCTGTTCTCACACTTCTATAAAGAACTACCTAAGATTGGGTAATTTATGAAGAAAAGAGGTTTAATTGACTCATAGTTCCACAGGCTTAACAGGAAGTATGACTGGGAGTCCTCAGGAAACTGACAATCATGGCAGAAGGGCAAAGGGGAGGCAAGCACCTTTTTCACATGGTGGCAGGGAGAGAAAGAGCAAAGGCGGAGGTGCCACATACTTTTAAACCATTAGATCTTGGAAGAACTCACTCACTATCATGAGAACAACAAGGGGGAAATCTGCCTCCATTATCCAAGAACCTCCCACCAAATCCCTCGATGAAAATTGAGAATTACAATTGGATATGAGATTTGGGTGAGGACACAGAGCCAAACCATATCAGCATCCAACTGGATTTCCTTCCAACTTGTTTGCAACATGGAAAAAAAGGTCAATCTTCCTCATTAATAATTTTTAAAAATTTATTATCAGCTAAGTTTATAGGCTATTTTGATTGTCTTTTTTAAAACTGCTTGGAAAGGCTATGCTAAATGAGTTCTTCCCAAATATTTATGTAGAAGGATCCTGAGATATTTTAAATGCATATCTACATTAAAATGTTGTTTCAATACATAAATGGCATTTTGAAATGTACCTCTAAAATCCATTTGATAGTAAGTCAATTTTGATTATAGATCTGAGATGTAAAGAAAATAGTGGCTCTAAAATCTCTTCTACTATCAAAATTAATGTTTAGTAAAATAAATACCTGATAAATTACCCAGGATGCATGCTGAGATACATTGATTGAACTAAAACATAAAAAATACTATGCACACCATTGATTCAAGTTTTCAAGAAGGAGAAAACATTTGGGAACTGCTATCTAATTTTACTAGAGCTTATATTCATCTGGGAAGGATTGATCTGGCCATAAAAGTCTTTGAAATATTGAATTCTGAATTCTTGGTAAATAGCTGCTGCTCTGGGTCCACTGACTCCCTGGTTACTCTGTCCACTCTTTCAAAATCTTTGTGCTATCTAGAAAATAAAGCATTAATGTTGGGACACCCTGTGTCTTCCAGTATCTGTTCCAATAACTTGGAACATCCAACCTAAAATTGTTGGTGCCTGGACCATAATGGTATCAAATATGTTTTAATATAACCCTTGAATAGAATATGTATTTCAGTTTCACCAGCATGAGAGAATATGTTTTCAGGGATGAATCGGGTTATTGAATAACCATGGGTTTTTGATTATTTGTTGGTTGATTGTTTTTAAACTGCAAGTTTTTTCATACCTTTCTTTTCTTTGGCAAGGCCCAGCCTATCTCATTCAGTCTCTAGGCATCATTAAAGTTTGTTTTACAGACACAGGTGCAAAAATAGTGACTCAACTTCCATTCCCTCCATTGGCCTCCTTTTCTCTGGTGATGTAGGCAAATCAGGGCATTTTGTCTTCTTTCTTCCATGGTCTTTTCCACCTCCCTCAGTAAAAGAAGAAGGATGTATAATGTGTAAGCTTGTCCTCCTCTAACCAGCACAGCAGTTCTTTAAATAGTTAATGAGCAGAGAGGCTGAGGATCCCAGAATTTTCCTGTACAAATTTTGGATGTAAATTATTCATTTAGTTTCCTGGGGCAAACTTCCTTTGGATCTGGGTTGAAGGTACCGCAACTAGCAGAGATCAACCTTTCTCACTAATAATTCCTTTCACAGCTCTAACATTGAATAGCTTTACTCTCCCCTTTCACATTGAATCCCCTGAAACAAAGACCACTGTTGAGAAAAATCACACTGCTCTAGAGCCTCATCCCAAAGCCTCATTTCAGTTTAATGTGCTCAGACATCATACATCTTCTAGGAGGTAAATAAAACCTTTGGGTGCACCAACCACCACCTAGGCCTGAAATGATGCCCAGGAGATGAAAAACCAACTCCATCTCCACCACAGACACACAATGGAGCTGGCTACAAGCACGTACCTCCTTTCCTGGTTTTCTTATTAAATTTAGCATCTTCAGTTTAGTTATCATCCATAACTGTTTCATCCTAGTCAAAAACATATTCAAAATAATTGCATGAGTTTATATTTTACATTAAAAAATACAGAGGTGCTGAATAAAATAGCACTGTCTCTTCTTTCCGCATTTTGTGAAAAGAAAAAATGTTTTGCTGACATAAATTCTCCTCATTTCATATTAGTTACTTTGTTGTCTCTCTCTTCTCTGAGTTAAAAGGGCTTCAGGTGAGAAGTGATGGAACATTGATGTGTCATATGAAACTTTCCCTTTTCCACTCAGCACTGAGGAAAATATTTGTCTTCTACTTAACGAACAGGTCTTTTCTTTAAAACTTGCTGAACTTGTTTTTTAACTTAGTAACTTCAGTGTGAACCAAAACAGGGATGTTTTAGATTTTCATCTCTTTCATGCCTAGGAAAAAAGAAAGAAAAAAAAGTTCCCAAGCTTACAGGCTAAATAAGTGGAATGAAGAAAAGATTTTTAGTTTACAAAATGACCATTTAAAACTATCATTGGCTTATTAAATTATTGCTTTCCAATAAATACCAACCAAAAATCACTATCACAGACATAATATATGTAAACTGCCAATATAATTTCACTTTATTTAACAGCAATGTGTAAAGAACAAATAGAAATGATCATTCATCATTAACAGATATATAGTGCTTTTAAATTTTAATAGTAGTATTTGCTCATTATGCTAACTCAAACTGAAGCGTATGGCAAATCCAAGTTTTTTATACTCTAAAAACATTTCAATTCTACCTGAAAATACCCTTCTGTAAATCCACCCATGAAGTTTTTTAAAAAATTGGTAAGACGTAGAAGTATACACAGTTGAGCATAAGAATATTATAAACTATTTCATGTACTCAACAAAATTATGCAATTGAAGCTAAATAGTTATCGAATTACTACCCAGAAGAGTCAGCAGCTGCTTCTATTTAAGGCTTTCATATATGTCTTTGCTGTTCCCTCCCTACTCCCCCAAATTAACTCAGGATTAATTTCAAGAGCTCTTTCTCCCTGTAGGGCACTGGGAGATGATGGAATGGGGAGCAGCTGCATTTTCTGAGCCGTTTTATCCCTTCTAGCTATTTCCCTTCCTTTACTTTCCACAGTCTCTCCCTTCGCTTGTACAATCTCAATTAGTTCCCAAGCTTTAAAATACATTTACTGTATATCCTGATGATTCCTGAACACACGTCTCTAGCCTGGAATCCCTCTACTGGGAACTTGAGACTCTGTATCCAACCAACTATAGGAGATCTCAAGCTGAATGTGCACAAGATGAAGCTTTCCTGGCTAGAATATCACACAACTTTTCAGTAAGTCAGGAACAGCATCTCCTTTCATTCAAACCATTCTTTCAACCAGAAACCTAGATTTTATCCCTGATTCTTCTTTACTTATTTCTATACTGTGTTCACGCTAATGGAAAATTCTATCAATTCTACTACAAAACATGCTTCAAATCCATTTCATTCTCTGTCTCCATTGCCACCAGCCTAGACAAGAAAACTGCCACCCCACCACTGGACTACTTCCACAGCCTTTGCTGCATCCATATCTGCTCTGATTAGTTCATTCTCCATAAAAAAAAGTACAGCAATATTTATAAAATACAAATAAAATCAGGTAATGTATGTACTTAAGCAGTGAAGCATCTTTTCACTGTATTTAGAATAAATTGCAAACTACTCACTATGGTTCACCCTGCATGAAATTTTCCCTATATATACCTCTAACATCTTCCCCTCAATCACTGTACTAGAACCTCACTAGTTTATTCTTGATTTCTCAACTGTATCAATCTCTTTTCTGCCCTGGGTTTTTGATATGCTGTGCTTTTTGCCTGAAATACTCTAGCTGCTGACCTTCTCATGACTATTTCCTTCTAATTTTCAAAGCTTCCTTCAAGATATCATGCACACTGACCTTACCTAAAGTAGGCCCCATTCCACAGCTATTGTTTACCTCAGCTGTTATATTTTTTTCCGGTAAACAACTTTTACTTATTTCACATGTACTATCTCATTTAATTCTCCTAAGTACCATGTGCAATAGATATTATTGAGCTCATTCGACAGGTAAGAAAACTGAGGTTCCTGATGGCAAACAAATTTGCCCAAGGTTGCATGCCAATAAACTATAGAGCTGGAAATTTAAACCAGTTGAACCAGCTCAGAAGTTAAAAAATCTACCTCATTTCAGATAACTAGAAAATGGATCTGGCCAGTTCTAGTTAAGAGTTTTGAGTTCTTTTTACTGAACTATGCTGCTGCCCTATATCTAAAGGAATAGTGGCTAGATAAATACTTTTCATGTCCCCCAACTTAAAACAGACCAGAAAACACACGCACACAGACACGCACACACACACACACACACATACACACACACGTTTTCTATATATTGTAGACACTATCAAAATGGTAAGAGACTATGGGAGGGGGAGAGCAGGAGAGAGGTAATATGGTAAGTAATTTTATTGTTTCATCCATAATTTTCTGCACTTTTCAAAATTTACTACTAAAAACATATCCTGTCATAATTAGAAAACCACAATAAAATGTTAAATAGGTCTGATTATATCAAAAACATAATTAAAAAAGTAAGTTAAATGGAAACATCTGATCCTTTTATGTTAATTTTATGACTAGTTTTTCATTGTTTTCATATGTTTTATTAATTTATTGGATTTTTTTTACTAATTTTATATATTGTATTAGTCAAAGGCGCCATACAACTGAGATTAGAAACTATAATCTTCTGAGACTTTGCTTCCTCTGTGTATTTTCCTGAGCCAATTCATCAATTTTTTTTATTAATTCTAAAGCCACCCTAAGTAATATTTACATTTAAATTGTATATTCATGTATACCTGAAATTAATTATAAGGAATGGTACATTATTTACACAAGTGACAAATGCTTCTCAGAGATATTTGATTTTTTCCATAGTTGTGACTATTCCCTAGAGTTCCATTAATAACCTTTACTCAGTCTAAAATTGCTGCACCACAAATCCAGCTTCCTACTGACAACTCAGTGGCATTTCTACAACAATAGGCCTAAAAGAAAACTCTTTACAGCCCCAAGCTAAATTAAGTGCCCCTCAGTGATGCTCCCATAACACCCTATGTGAACTTCTTTCAGCATGTACATTGTATATCACAGTTATTTGTTTGTATAGTCCTCACTAGATGATAACCTGCTCAAAGGCAGCCCCGTTGTTCATCTCCTTAGTATCTAGCAATGTCCTATAGGCACTCTCTCAACATATTGTTGGACTTAAAAAATTGACTTCTTTAAAATAATATAATAAAAACCAGTAGTCTTTCCTCAATCAAAATCTACATCATAAGAAGTATAAAGTTAGTCAATCAACATATGTTTTATCCCTAAAAGATTCAGTTAACTGTAGGCCAGATTGGGAAAAGTTCGACGGAACAGTTGATCAGCTGGAAATTTTTGACTTCTGGTACACCAAACAGAAGATATCTACAAAGTGTATTTGGGATGATGGTCAAGTATTTGATTTCAGTGTTCTTTTACTGCATGGAATTGGTGTCAGTTTTCTTCTCTTATTCATTAGATTCTATCTCTGTTATTCCATTTAAAAGGTGTGTTTAGATGTACAAAGACTTCACTGAAAAATAGTGAATTTCAGTAAGGCTGTAAGTGCAGGAGATATCTTTCCGCATTTATATAGTTCAAAAAAAAAAAAACCTCACCCTTTTTGCATCCAGATCTTGTCAGCATCTTTGATCTTTGCTCTCTCTCTCTCTTCCAGGTCATTCTATTTGATTCTTTGAATGTTGTTTAGAGTTGGGGTCTGATATAAAATGTCACTTTCAGAATTTCATCAACTGGGACAGTAAGTAGAAGATAATGTTTTTAGAGTTTCCAGAGAGGAGATTCAAAGTCTGATGCTTTGCCTCAAATAGTCATAAGGACTGGGGGGCACAAGCATCCACTGGCTATATGAAAAAAGGAAACACTTGAAAATATGGCTAGTGAAAGAAGGAGATCCTAAGGAATTAAACAGACAGCCCAAAATCTATATAGACAATTGTGTCACTTAGGGGTGTAGGGTATGCAATCTCTGGGAGATTGCATGAGGCCAGAACTCCAACTCTATGACTTAGAGTTCTGGCAGGGTATTATTTACATTATGTAGACCATTGGCTAACTTTGCAGAAGGGTCTTTGGAGCCTCCATTTGGCTGCCAGCCATGATTCACTGCAGCAGCATGTTGTCAAGGCAGCTAGTCTTTCATCCACACACCCATGCTGACCCTTCTGCAGAAACTAACCCTTTCTCACCTAACAACACAAACAACCTTATTTTCACACTACCATTAAGAATCACATCTATTATTTATAGGTCATTATGTAACAATTCTTTTCATATAATACTTCTAAGCTTCACCACAACCCTATAGTATAAGTATTATCATCCCCAATTAGAAAAGTAAGAGGTTACATATCTTGCCCAAGTTCTCAGATCTAGTACAAGGTTGAATTGGGATTCAAACCAAAGTCTCTCTGGTTCCCCAACCCCCTTGTCACTGATAACTAGTGATCTATTCAGTCATCACAATAAATTCTGGAGAAGGGACAAAAGCCATTTTGAAGTGCAAACTCATGAAAAAATCATTAAGTAAATTACATTATTAAAGTTACAATCCTGTCTTCATTATTAGTAGAACTGACTTGCTTATCATAAGAACCTATGATTATCACTTAAAGTGTGTGCTTTAATCTTTTTTTTTTTTTTTTTTTTTTTGAGACGGAGTCTCCCTCTGTAGCCGAGGCTGGAGTGCAGTGGCGCGATCTTGGCTCACTGCAAGCTCCGCTTTCTGGGTTCACGCCATTCTCCTGCCTCAGCCTCCCGAGTAGCTGGGACTACAGGCGCCTGCCACTGCGCCCAGCTAATTTTTTGTATTTTTAGTAGAGACGGGGTTTCACTGTGGTCTTGATCTCCTGACCTCGTGATCCACCCGCCTCGGCCTCCCGAAGTGCTGGGATTTGTGTGCTTTAATCTTGATGATATGTTGTATTTTTAAATATTCAGTTATTAAAAAGATAATGTATTTTAATGAGGCAATAAACAAGTTATATTAATTTTTTTGTTTTTGAGACAGAGTTTCGCTCTTGTTGCCCAGGCTAGAGTGCAGTGGCGCGATCTCACTCACCGCAACCTCCGCCTCCGGGATTCAAGCGATTCTCCTTTCTCAATCTCCCAAATAGCTGGGATTACAGGCATGTGCCACCACGCTCGGCTAATTTTGCATTTTTAGTAGAGACAGGGTTTCTCCATGTTGGTCAGGCTTGTCTTGAACTCCCAACTTCAGAGGATCCACCAGCCTCAGCCTCCCAAAGTGCTGGGGTTATAGGTGTGAGCCACCGCACCCGGCCACAAATTATATTAATTCTAAAATGGAAGGAATTGCTAATAATGCTATTAGAATGTGGTATGTTAAAGGTCAGTTGTCTGCCTCCCCAGTCATCCTGGGTTAGCATTATCTTGATGAATT
The DNA here is from genome assembly GCF_000001405.40 of Homo sapiens. Taxonomy (NCBI): domain Eukaryota; kingdom Metazoa; phylum Chordata; class Mammalia; order Primates; family Hominidae; genus Homo; species Homo sapiens. The sequence goes on from NC_000007.14 coordinate 120,882,362, forward strand.
CCCGTGGTCTGATATAGAAACCTACCTCAATTTTTTAACATCAGAAACTTGATTTGTCTGTATGCTAAAAGTGATTCCTATTAAATGAGAGTTTTGTTTCTACCAGACTAATTTTTATGTCGTAAAAAATTATTAACAGATTATGTTAGTTTCTTTATTCAATTTATTCATGTCATAATTTAAAATGATTACTTCTTTTTATGGTTTTCAGTTCATTTTAAAAGCCTTATTACTCCATTTACAAAGCTAGCAAATTTTCAATCTCTTTAAAGGAAGCCCTTAGTAACTATCTAGAACCAGTTATAAACCTTGTTAATTAAACTCATTTTAACATTTTAAACTACATTAATACCTTTATATACTCAATTTCTTTCTACACATACTTACATTTATCTAATAAACTTTCTCAAGTATTAAGTAATACTTATAAAATTAATAAATAAAACTTTTAAATGGTTTCTTTTAATTTTCCTTAAATAATCAAATATCACATTTATACTTAATTGTATTCAGTCTACATACACATTTCTAAATCAACTCTCAATTAGACATTTTAAAATGGTGTTACAAGCTTGATCTGTTATTCTAACAAAGTCTTTAATCATTATGGATGCTTATTATAGCAAATACATGCATGTTAATTAATGTAAAAATAGTAATATCACATTGTGGTTGCCTTAAACATATCTACTATTAATTCTAAGTCTCCCCAGATATAAAAAATGCTTTTCCACAAAGGAAACATACCATCTCACAACATTTTGGGGGTTATATCCCTACATAATTTTTGGAGCTGCCTTCTCAGCTTTTCAATGATCAGAGGATAGTTGAGCAATGAGACTGGATCCTGTCTCTGATATGGATGGAACGTATCAGCTCCTATAAATTATAACACACTGTTAATAGGACTTCAAAAATGAAAGAGAAACATTTCATGTGGCTCATATCCATTAAAAATGAGTTACATTATTATCTAATTTTCAAGTCAGGTTAGAATCTATAACTTCCACCTAGGTGGCCATATCTCTTAATTGGATTTTGTTTTCCTTAGTTCTTAAGATAAGTAGATGTATTCACACCTAGGGGTAAAGACATTTGAGTGTAAGGCAATCCTACCTTTTCTCACTTTAATCAAATCATACAACTCTTCCTAATATTAAATGCATTTTGGATTGTAATCTGAACTCTTTTGGAGTTTTGTCTATTTTGATCATAAATTTCAAGGTCATTCAAGTGATAGATCTATCTCTAAAGGGCAGATGCATATTAACCAGACTCACAAAAGAAAAGTATCAAAACAAAATGCCAATGTATTCATTTATAAGGAAAAATATAACTGCTAAGGAGGACAGGCACTTAAAAATATTTTGATGTACACAAAATTTTCCTATAAACAAGCCTCAAAAAGTGGCAAGTTATTATCTGAAAGCTGCCTGGTGAGTATGGAATCAGAATAAGAGGAGTTATGTATATTATTTGGATAATTAATGACCTCAGCATGAAATAATCTGATATATCTGCCAGAATTTGGAGGACACTAATAGACAGCAGCCCTTCCTTCCCTGCCAAGTTTGGTACCAACTAAAAGGCAAATATGGAGTTAAACAGATGGCGCTCAAAGTGTCAGCTTTATTATTGATTAAGGCTAGGTTAGAGACACAGCTTTAACAATGCAACTAAATGAACTTGAAAATATTTCTTCAATAGGTTAGATTACTAACCTTGTTATGATACAACTCTTCAAACCCAGTTATGTCCCTAACCATGCCCCTGACCACAGGGCGGTAGAGGACCAAAATGCATGTAGCATCCCACCTGTGCTAAGAGACTGCTTTCCGGAACGGGGTGGTGAGAGAGAGAGAGAGGGAGAGAAGAGAGAAACAGATAATATGAGAGAGAGCAAAGAATGTCATTTTTCTTTCACAAATTTCACTTATTAGATAAGACATTTACTCTCTTGTGGGAAGGATTAAGAGTTAGGACTATTTCTCTTACGGAATCCTTTCACAGAAGGAATGAAGGATAAATGCCTCCTAAGTCCTAGCAACATTCATCTTTACATAAAGGATATATATGCCAAAGGGTCAGGAAAGAGTTGTGCATCTGGATCAGAAGTGCTTCTACCCACAATGGAGTCAGGATGAGACTGCTGTTTTACGTCTCTGTGATTCTCAACTTTCCATGCTTCTATTGCAGTCCAATCCCTTTCCTCATTTGCAGTTTTTTTAAGTTCTGTTAATACATTAATCCAGATTGGTGTCAAGTTTTGTGAGCCTGGAAGCTATCTGGCCTCTCTAAACAGTCTTTGCATGTCTCTGCTTTGATCCATTATGTATATATCAATCTAAATTCCTTCAATTCCAAATTCATGAAGGACGCTCCCCATAACTCCGCCAAAAAACTCATACTTAGTACTTCTATTATAAATATTGAAAGTTATAATATAGGGAATATGTCTGAATAGAGTGAAAATATTATCAACTACTGATCATCTAAGAACTAATTATCTCATTTGCACTCTAAGCATGCGTCTTAGTTCTTTCCTACCTCCTCCTTCTGTGCACATTTTAATCAGTTATTTTTAGACTGTGTTTCTACCATGAAGGAGAATTCATGAAATATTTCACATGTTTCTTACTAGAATGGCTTTTAAAAGGTATCTTTCATATAATTTATCTATATTATTTCTGTTCCTGATAGCAGAAACTCCAAATGTTGTATTTATTGAACTCCTGTTGATACATAGAATTCCACAGCATGGGTTTAATTCCTGAATGGTTCCTACCTGTTGCTTTACTAGCAATTCTTTGAAAAAGGAAACAAGGAAAATAGATTTAAAAATTGGATGATAATAAGAGATGAGATCTGTGTTCTCATTTCCATTCAACAACAATTTACTTATGACATTTGAACCCACTATGAGATCCTAATGTTATAATAACAAAAATCAATGTTTTATATAACATTGTGTCTCCCAAATGAAGTTCCACTGAACACTAGTTCTAAGGATTAAACTATGTTACATAAAAACAATTTCTTGATCAAATAGGTTTGAGGAAGGGGTAATTAGACACACTATATTTTTACAAGACTTAACAGCAACTTTAATGTTCCATTAACAATACTGTATTTCATTTACCCTGACTTCCTTTTAATTGTATGATGAAGAATTAATTATGTTCCATTAATAAATGAAAAATACTGCTAACTAAAACATGGCACTGGAGTCAGGTACCTTGGCATGCACCTGTAGCCCCAGCAACTTGGGAGGAAAAGGCAGGAGGATCACATGAGCCCAGTAGTTTGAGGCCAACCTGGGCAACATAGCAAGGTGCCTTTCATGCGCATCCATGTGAAGAGACCACTAAACAGGCTTTGTGTGAGCAATAAAGCTTTTAATCACCTGGGTGCAGGCGGCCTGAGTCCAAAAACAGAGTCAGTGAACAGAGATAAGGGTGGGGCCGTTTTATAGGATTTGGGTAGATAAAGGAAAATTACAGTCAAAGGGGGGTTGTCCTCTGGTGGGCAGAGTGGGGGTCACAAGGTGCTCAGTAGGGGAGCTTATGTCATCAGTTAAGGCAGGAACAGGCCATTTTCACTTCTTTTGTGGTGGAATGTCATCAGTTAAGGCAGGAACCGGCCATCTGGATGTGTACTTGCAGGTCACAGGGGATATGATGGCTTAGCTTGGGCTCAGAGGCCTGACATTCCTGTCTTCTTATATTAATAAGAAAAATAAAACAAAATAGTGGTAAAGTGTTGGGATGGTGAAAATTTTTGGGGGTGGTATGGAGAGATAATAGGCGATGTTTCTCAGGGCTGCTTCGAGTGGGATTAGGGGCGGCATGGGAACCTAGAGTGGGAGAGATTAAGCTGAAGGAAGATTTTGTGGTAAGGGGTGATGTTGTGGGGTTGTTAGAAGAAACATTTGTCGTGTAGAATTACTGCTGATGGCCTAGATATGGTTCTGTATATATTGAAAAACTAAATGGAATAAGAGAAGGAGAAAAACCGGTATAAAAGGTCTAAGAATTGGGAGGACCTAGGACATCTGATTAGAGAGCGCCTAAGGAGATTCAGCATAGTCCTGCTAGCAAAGTTCATTTATTTACTTCAAGAGTTTAGAGTGGCAGTTTGGGGATAGAACCAGGAGATATCAGCTGTGATGGCTTGGAGAAACAGTGTAAACTGGCAGTGTAAACAAGAGCAGGGCATGTATGAGTAGTTGAGAACGGTGAATAGGAGTATGACTAGATAGAAGATAGTAGGGATGACAAGTTTTTTTGGGCACAGTCTAAGTTGATCTGGTGTCTGGAATGAGACTGGGGCCTAATAAAAAGGAGCGTCTATACAGGAGCTCAAATGGGCTGTACCTTGTAGCATTCTGAGGACAGGTCTGACTTCTGAGAAGGGAAAGTGGTAAAAGTATTGTCCAGTCCTTTTTAAATTGGTGGCTGAGCTTGGTGAGGTGTGTTTTTAAAAGACCTTTAGTCCGTTCGACTTTTCTTGAAGACAGAGGACCGTAAGGGATATAAAGGTTTCACTGAATACTAAGAGCCTGAAAAACTGCTTGGCTGATTTGACTCATAAAGGCTGGTCTGTTATCAGACTGTATAGAGGTGGGAAGGCTAAACTGAGGAATTATGTCTGACAGAAGGGAAGAAAAGACTGTGGTGGCCTTCTCAGACCCTGTAGGAAAGGCCTCTACCTATCCAGTGAAAGTGTCTACCTAGACTAAGAGGTATTTTAGTTATCTGACTCGGGCCATGTTGAGTAAAGCTAATTTGCCAGTCCTGGGTGGGGGCAAATCCTCGAGCTTGATGTGTAGGGAAGGGAGGGGGCCTGAATAATCCCTGAGGGGTAGTAGAATAGCAGATGGAACACTGAGAAGTTATTTCCTTGAGGATAGATTTCCATGATGGAAAGGAAATGAGAGGTTCTAAGAGGCAGGCTAGTGTCTTGTACTATAGCATAGCCTGCCTTTGCTGCTGTGTGGCAATTAGGCCTGGTGGAACTGCCATCAATAAATCAAGCGTGATCAGGGTCAAGAACCGGAAAGAAAGAAATATGGGGAAATGGGGTGAATGTCAGGTGGATCAGATACAGTCATAAGGGTCAGGTGTGGTATCTAGAATAATGTGGGAGGCCAGATTGAAGTCCGGACCAGGAACAATGGTAATTGTGGGACTTAACAAAGAGTGAGTACAGCTGAAGGAGCCGGGGAGCAGAAAGTATATGCGTCAGGTATGAGGAAGAAAATAGATTTTGGAAGTTATGAGAAATGTAGCGAGTGAGTTGAGCATGGTTTGTGATTTTTAGGGCCTCTAAAATATTAAAGCAGCGGCAGCTGCTGCATGCAGACATGAGGGCTAGGCTAAAACAGTAAGGTCAAGTTGTTTGGAGAGAAAGGCTACAGGGTGCTGTCCTGGCTCTTGTGTAACAATTCTGACCACACTAACTATGCTTAGGAAGGAAAGGAGTTGTTGTTTTGTAAGGGATTGAGGTTTGGGAGATTAATCAGACATGATCAGCAGGGAGAGCACGTGTGTTTTTATGAGAATTATGCCAAGATACGTAACAGATGAGGATGAAATTTGGGCTTGACTGAAGTAATGGGGGCTATCTGCGAAGCCTTGTGGCAGTACAGCCTAGGTAATTTGCTGAGCCTAATGGGTGTCAGGGTTAGTCTAAGTGAAAGCGAAGAGAGGCTGGGATGAAGGGTGCAGTAAGGAAAGCATGTTTGAGATCTAGAACAGAATAATGGGTTGTAGAGGGAGGTATTGAGGATAGGAGAGTATACGGATTTGGCACTATGGGGTGGATAGGCAAAACAATTTGGTTGATAAGGCGCAGATTCTGAACTAACCTGTAAGCCTTGTCTGGTTTTAGGACAGGTAAAATGGGGGAATGGTAGGAAGAGTTTATAGGCTTTAAAAGGTCATGCTGTAACAGGCGAGCGATAACAGACTTTAATCCTTTTAAAGTGTGCTGTGGGATGGGATATTGGCATTGAGCGGGTTAAGAGTGATTAGGTTTTAATGGGATGGTAAGGGGTGCATGATCGGTTGCTAAGGAGGGAGTAGAGGTGTCTTATACTTGTGGGTTAAGGTGGGGAGATACAAGGGGAGGATGTGAAGGAAGCTTTGAACTGGGGGAAAAGGCGGCAATGAGGTGTGGCTGTAGCCTAGGAACAGTCAGGGAAGCAGATAATTTAGTTAAAGTGTCTCGGCCTAATAAGGGAACCGGGCAGGTGGGGATAACTAAAAAGGAGTGCTTAAAAGAGTATTGTCTAAGTTGGCACCAGAGTTGGGGAGTTTTAAGAGGTTTAGAAGCCTGGCCGTCAATACGCACAACAGTTATGGAAGCAAGGGAGATAGGCCCTTGAAAATAAGGTAATGTGGAGTGAGTAGCCTCCATATTAAGAAGGGGATGGACTTACTTTCTACTGTGAGAGTTACTTAGAGTGTCTGTGATGGTCCTGTAGGCTTCTGAGGTGATCAGGCAGTGTCAGTCTTCAGTTGCTAAGCAGAGAAGATCTGGGAAGGAGTCAGTCAGAGAGCCTTGGGCCAGAGTTCTAGGGGCTCTGGAAGTGGCTGCCAGGTGAGTTGAACAGTCCAGTTTTCATTGGGGTCCTGCACAGATGGGACACGGCTTAGGAGGAATCCTGGGCTGTGGGCATTCCTGGGCCTAGTGGCCAGATTTCCAGCACCTGTAGCAAGCTCCTGGGGGAGGAGGTTCTGGAGGAAACTTCGGCAGCTGCGGTTCAGGTGTTTGGAATTCTTGTGTGCTGGAGATGTGGCTGGGGTTTGTCTCACAGTGGAGGCAAAGAATTGCAACTCAGAAATATGTTGCTACTTGGCTGCCTCTACTCTATTATTGTACACCTTGAAGGCAAGGTTAATTAAGTCCTGTTGTGGGGTTTGAGGGCTGGAGTTTAATTTTTGGAGTTTTATTTAATGTCAGGAGCGGACTGGGTAATAAAATGTATATTGAGAATAAGACGGCCTTTTGACCTTTTAGGGTCTAGGGCTGTAAAGCGTCTCAGGGTTGCTGCCGAACAAGCCATGAACTGGGCTGGGTTTTTCATATTTGATGAAAGAGCCTAAATGCTTTCTGATTTGGGAGAGATCTCATAAAGAAAAAGGAGCATTAACATTGACTATGCCTTTAGCTTCAGCCACCTTTTTAAGAGGAAATTGCTGGGCAGGTGGGGGAGGGCTACTCACGGAATGAAACTGTAAACTGGACCAGGTGTGAGGAGGGAAGGTGATAAAAAGATTATAGGGTGGAGCGGAGGCTGAGGAAGAATTGGGACCTAGCTCTGCCTGGCGAGGAGCAGTCTGGGGAGGAGGGGAGAGGTCAGATGGGTCTGTAGAAAAGGAAGATTGGAAAGACTCAGTGACGCTTGGCATTGGGTCTGAGGGGACAGGCAGGAGGGAAAGAAGGAAGATTTGGGACCAGTTGCACTGGGCACAGAGACTAGGGAGGGACTGATGTGTGAAAGAATGCCTGGATGTCAGGCACCTCAGACCATTTGCCTATTTTTTGACAGAAATTATTTAGGTCTTGTAGGATGGAGAAATCAAAAGTGCCATTTTCTGGCCATTTAGAACTACTGTCGGGTTTGTATTGGGGTCAAGCAGCATTGTAGAAGAAAATAAGTCATTTAGGTTTTAGGTCAGGTGAGAGTTGAAGAGGTTTTATGTTCTTAAGAACACAGGCTAAGGGAGAAGAAGGAGGAATGGAGGGTGGAAGGTTGCCTATAGTGAAGGAGGCAAGTTTAAAGAAAAGGGAGAGTAGAGACCCAGAGGGAAGCAGTTCAGGGGTTCTTACTTTTCAGAAAAGCGGGAAAGGGGTCAGAGCGCAGAGATAAGAAGTCAGGGCACGGAAATAAGGGATCAGGGTGAAGAGATATAAGAGGTTGGGACGCGGAAATAAGGGATCGGGGCGCAGAGATATAAGAGGTTGGAGTGTGGAAATAAGGGATCGGGATGCAGAGATACGAGGTTGGGGTACTTGCCCCTCCCCCAGAAAAGTGGGACTTGCCACTAAGGGTGAAAGAGAAGGGGTTGGGGGTTTCTTGCCCCCTAGAAAGGTGGAGAAGGGGTAGAGACATGGAGAGAAGGGGTTGGGGTACTTGCCCCTCCCCCAGAAAAGCGGGACTTGCTGCTAAGGGTGAAAGACCAAGGCAGGCGTCCCTGCGTGGTCTGACACCTCTGAAACCTGGGCGAATAATCAGAGAGGCATCCCTGCAATGATTAAACACCAAGGGAAGGCTGCCTTCCCTAGTCCGTGACCAGTGCCGGAGTTTTAGGTCCATGGATAAAATGTGTCTCCTTTGTCTCTACCAGAAAATGAAAGAAATTGAAATTAAGAGAAGGGAGAGATTGAAGTGTGGTGCCAAGATTGAAAGGAGAAAGAGGCTGAGGGATAGTGAGGGAGGCTGGAGAAGAGAGTAAAAAGAGGCTGCTTACTGGATTTGAAATTGGTGAGATGTTTCTTGGGCTGGTCGGTCTGAGGACTTGAGGTCGTAGGTGGACCTTTCTCACGGAGCAAAGAGCAGGAGGACAGGGGATTGATCTCCCAAGGAAGGTCCCCCAATCCGAGTCATGGCACCAAATTTCATGCGCGTCCGTGTGAAGAGACCACCAAACAGGCTTTGTGTGAGCAATAAAGCTTTTAATCACCTGGGTGCAGGCGGGCTGAGTCCAAAAAGAGAGTCAGCAAACAGAGATAAGGGTGGGGCCGTTTTATAGGATTTGGGTAGATAAAGGAAAATTACAGTCAAAGGGGGGTTGTCCTCTGGTGGGCAGAGTGGGGGTCACAAGGTGCTCAGTAGGGGAGCTTTTGAGCCAGGATGAGCCAGGAGAAGGAATTTCACAAGACAATGTCATCAGTTAAGGCAGGAACAGGCCATTTTCACTTCTTTTGTGGTGCAATGTCATCAGTTATGGCAGGAACTGGCCATCTGGATGTGTAAGTGCAGGTCACAGGGGTATGATGGCTTAGCTTAGGCTCAGAGGCCTGACAGTGCCATCTGTTAAAATAAAACTGACACTGTTATGCAATGACCTTCTTAAAGATGAAGGTCTCTTAAGTCTCAGTATTTTTATTTTATGCTTACTAAAAGCGCCTCCTTAGACTTATTTAGGCAAAGATTTCCAATACATGTCTTTCTTGTATTTACATTAAAAGGAAAATAAACCATATAAGACATTCCCAATACAATTGACCTTTGAACAACATCTCGCAAAGTCAAAAAATCTGTATATAACTTTTGACTCCTCAAAACCTTAAGTACTAATAGCCTACTGTTGACTGGAGACCTTACTGATAACATGAACAGTAAATTAACACATATTTTGTATGTTATATGTATTATATAATGTATACTTACAATACAGTAAGCTAGAGAAAAAATGTTAAGAAAATCATAAGGAAGAAAACATATATTTTTATTCACTGTGTGGAACTGGATCATCAAGAGGTCTCCATCCTTATCATCTTCACATTGAGTAGGGTGAGAAGGAAGGGGAAGACTTGGTCTTGCACAGACAGGAGTGGCAGAGGCAGAAGAGATGGAGGAGGTGGAAAAGAAACAGGAGAGGCAGGCAAACTTAGTATAACTTTTGGAAATACATTTTCATTCTTGTCTGACTTTTTTGCTTTTTCATTTCTTTAAAAATATTTCTATATGGTACCAATCCTTCTTCCACCATTTGCTTTAGTTTCAGTGCCCATATCATAGAAGGGCCCATGTCTTAGAAAGAAGTCAAGGCTGTCTTGAATCACTGAAACTTCTCCCAGATTGTCTTGTTTTCTAGCATGGTTTCTTCTACAATTTCTTCCTCGTCATCTGGCACTGGTTTAGAAACACTTATCTCCTTCAATTCATCTTCTGTTAACTCCTATGGTGTGGTGTCTATTAGCTTTTGAATTTTTCCAGGATCTGTATCTTAAAATCTTGCACTTCTCACCTTTTTTTTTTTTTTTTTTTGGCCATATCCACAATCTCTTTCATGATTTCCTTAATTCGATCTGTCATAAATCTTATGAAGTCATGCAGAACATCTAGACACAGTTTCCTCCAGCAAGAAATTATGGTTTGGGGCTTGATGGCTTTCACAGCTTTTTCTGTAACGATGATGGCATCCTCAGTGATGTAATCCTTCCGGATGTTCAAGACGTTCTCTTTATTGGGGTCTCTTCCATAGCACTGACAATCCTTTCCATAGAATAGTCCTTGTAATGGGCCTTAAAGGTCCTTATGACTCTCTAATCTGGACTAAGGCTAAATTATATGTGTTTGGGGACAAGCATATCACATTGATGTCTTCAGTGTTTAACTCATGGATTTCTCGGTCACCAGGGTTATTGTCCAATATCATAAGAACTTTAAAAGCACCCCCTCACTGGCAAGGTACTTCCTGATTTCAGAGACAAAGCATTGGTGGAACCAATCCAGAAAAAAAGGTTCTTGTTGTCCAGGCCTTCTTGTTGTACAACCAAAAGACTAGCAGCTGGTGTTTATCTTTTCCCTTCAAGGCTCAGGGGTTAGCAGCTTTATATATAAAAGTAGTCTGGATTATAAACTTGACTACCTTTGTGCAAAACAGTAGAGTTAGCCTGTTCCTGCCTTAAATCTTGGTGCTCACTTCACTTGCTTACTAATAAACGTCCTTAGTGACATGTTTTTTTCTAGACTAGGGCACACTTTCATCTTCATTAAAACCTCTTCAGGCAGATATATTTTCCCCTTAATCATTTTCTTAATAGTGTCTGGAAACTCATGTATTGCCTCTTGGTCAGCAGAAGCTGCTTCTGTTATCTTGACATTTTTATTAAAAGCATCAAACCATCCTTTGCTGGCACTAAATTCTCCAGCTTTAGATCTTTCACCTTCTTTTTGCTTCAAGTGGTCATATAATGACTTTGCTTTTTCTCGAATCATATTAGAGTCTATAGGTATGCCTTTCCTATAGAAATCCTGGACCCACATAAGAGCTGCATTTTCAATGCAAGATAAAAAGGTATTTTTCAAAAAATGCATGATTTTCGTGCCTGCTGACATAGCTGCAGTGACTACTTTATGAATTTCTGTTTCCTTTTTTTACAATATTCCTTACAATGGATTTGTTTATCTTGAAATAGCAAGAAATGGCATCTGCAGACCTCAATCTAAAGTACATATCAAGCAATTCAACGTTTTTTGTAATGTCATCCTTTTCTCTTTTTCTTGGGAGCACTTCCAGCATCACTAGCAGCACTTAATATGGGTCCCATGGTGTCATTAAAGATTTATAATATTGCACAAAACATGATGAAAATGCACAAGAACTGTGAGGGACAATTTTTTAATGTGATGTGCAGTTTGCTGGAGAGATGAATGGCTCACATGGAGATGATTAGCATCACATGGCATTTTAAGCAGATACTACCAAAACTGGAGATCACTGCCATAGCAACAGGAGATGGCTATGAAATTATTATAACATTACAGTATGCCTACAGTTAATTTTATGAAGTTACGATTTAATACTGCATCTTGACTTTTTTTTTTTCATTTCTCTTGACTGCAAATGGTACCATGTATGTATGATCTGTAAGGGATGTGTGTAAGTTTTGATAAATTTTAACTATTTATGATAGAGCTGTGCATATTTTATGGGAGTAAGTGATAAAAATAGACCTGTGTCTACATGTATTTGATGCATTTATGACATACATAACTTTTTCTGAATATTTTCTAGATTTCTAGACTAAACAGTTTGCATGTTTTTTTTTTTTACAAATTGTTACAAATCTCCAAAAATTTTCCAATGTGTTTATTTAAAAAATACACAAATAAGTAGACCCATGTAGTTCAAATTCATGTTGTTCAAGGGTCAACTATAGTATTTTACACTCAAAGTTTAACTATACTAGGTCACTTTTTGGCCCAGTGTCATTGATACTCATGTTGTTCTGCATATAATGTCCTCTGTTCCATCAACAGCATCAAGGCTGAAACGTTTCTAAGGAAGGATCTAAGATTTTCTTCCAAGCCAATGACATTTCTGTCTTACTTTTGATGATGTCATATGATATGGTTTCACTGTGTCCCCACCAAAATCTCATCTTGAAATCCCACGTGTTGTGGGAGGTACCCGATGGGACATAATTGAATCATGGTGTTGATAGGTCTTTCTCGTGCTGTTCTTATGATAGTGAATGTCTCACATGACCTGATGGTTTTAAAAAGGAGAGTTTCCCTGCACAAGCTCTCTTCTCTTGTCTGCCACCATGTGAGACATGCCTTTCATCTTCCGCCATGATTGTGAGGCCTCTTCAGCCACGTGGAACTTTAAATCCATTAAACCTCTTTCTTTTGTAAATTGCCCAGTCTCAGATATGTCTTTATCAGCAGCATGAAAATGAACTAATACAGTAAATTGGTACCGAGAATGGGGTGCTGCTGAAAAGATACCCAAAAATGTGGAAGCAACTTTGGAACTAAGTAACAAGCAGAGGCTGGAACAGTTTGGAGGGCTCAAAATAAGAAAGGAAAATGTGGGAAATTTTGGAACTTCCTAGGGACTTGTTGAATGGCTTTGCCCAAAATGCTGATAGCAATATGGACAATAAAGTCCAGGCTGAGGTGGCCTTGGATGGAAATGGGGAACTTGTTGGGTACTACAGCAAAGGTGACTCTTGTTATATTTTTGCGAAGAGACTGGTGGGATTTTGTCCCTGCCCTAGAGATTTGTGGAACTTTGAATTTGAGAGAGATGATTTAGGGTGTCTGGCGGAAAAAAATTTCTAAGCAGCAAAGCATGCAAGATGGGACTTGGGTGCTGTTAAAGGCATTCAGTTTTATAAGGGAAACAGAGCACAAAAGTTTGGAAATTTGCAGCCTGAAAATGTAATAGAAAAGAAAATTCTATTTGCTGAGGAGAAATTCAAGCCAGCTGCAGAAATTTGCATAAGTAATGAGGAGCCGAATGTTAATCCCCAAGACAATGGAGAAAATGTCTCCAGGGCATGTCAGAGGTCTTTACAGCAGCCCCTCCAATCACTGGTCCAGAGGCCTAGGAGGACAAAATGGTTTCATGGGCCAGGCCCAGCATTCCTATGCTGTGTACAGCCTAGTGACTTGGTGCCCTATGTCCCAGCAGCTCCAGCCATGGGTGAACGAGGCCAACATAGAGTTCAGGCTGTGGCTTCAGAGGGTGCAAGCCCCAAGCCTTGGAAGCTTCTATATGGTGCTGTATCTGCCAGTGCACAGAAGTCAAGAACTGGGGTTCGGGAACCCCTGCCTAGATTTCAGAAGATGTATGGAAATGCCTAGATTCGCAGGCAGAAGTTTGCTGCAGAGGCGGGGCCCTCATGGAGAACCTCTGCTAGGGCAATGCAGAAGGGAAAGGTGGGGTCAGAGCCCCCACACAGAGTCCCTATTGGGGCACTTCTTAGTGGAGCTGTGAGAAGAGGGCCACTGTCCTCCAGACCCCAGAATGGTAGACCTACTGAAAGCTTGCACCTTGTGCCTGGAAAAGCTGCAGACACTCAACACCAGCCCATGAAAGCAGCTGGGAAAGTGGCTGTACCCTGCAAAGCCACAAGGGGTAGCTGTCAAATATAGAGGTAAGTTGGTGCACACTATCCCACCTACTTCTGACCCTCCACGTATTATCTGTGTTAAAAGTTCCTCCAACAGGAATCCATTCCTTTGGATTCAAATCCTCTATTAAAATGCTAGTCCCCAGAATAAAAGCTAACTATTAGCAAAACATTATCATAGCAATGTTTTCCATTTTTTGTTTAGAACTTATTTTTAATAAATTAAGTGTCAAATATAGAGGCTCCCACCCCAGTCTTCCAGCATCCTTTCCTCACTGGGCTCTCAGAATGCTGACTCTAGAATCCCACGTAGGCCACTAGGAGATTCTTCTCTGAAGAATCTGTCCAGCTTAAGAGAGAAGACTAAAGATTCTGTTGTGAAGATTGTATTGTGAAGGATTTCTGAAAAATTTGTGCAGCACACTCTACTGTAGAGGTCAATATCAGCAAACCTGTATGTGCTCAGAGTTTCCAACTATACTTTTAGTCTCCCAGTCTTAAGGTAACCAAATCATACTGGTAACATTGCCAGATTTAGCAAATAAAAATACAGGATGATCAAATTTGAATTTTGAATAAACAATGATTTTTTTTGTATAAGTAGATGTCATACTTATTTGAGACCTATTTACTCTAAAAAAAAAGTACATATTTATCTGAAACTTAAATTCAAACAGGCATTTTATTTCCATATAAAATGTATCCATTTTATCTGGAAACATTACATAGAGATTATCCAAGAAAATACTATAACATGGAAGGGAGACAGTATAACCAAAAGAAAAATGAAACAATAATATCAAAATCCTGACAGAAAATTATTACCAATCTAGTGGTCTAAACTCACTGAAATATCAACTGGGAATGAGAACAGAATGTTTTCAGTTTCCATCAGGTCATCAAAATGTTAATGGCAGATCTCTCAAGATACTAATGTTTCAAATGGCTTAATAAGATTTTGACATAGAAAGTCAAAAACAAACTCTGTTTGTTTCTTTCTGTGTGAATCAGTGTTCATATGATATGCATATAATTAGAAAAATCAATAAAGCTCTTTTCATTTTGAATAAAAACTCCTATACACAAAAAGTCATTAAATGAAATTATGTAGGTAGCTTTATTTTTCCAAATTGTTATTAAATTGTATTCCTACACATTTATTTTTTTCTAGTTAAAGTTAATACCCAGTATATTGTGTGCTGCATGAGTTCAAACCCCATTCGTAATCAAAATCTGTATTATTTTTCTGAGTCTCAAGAGCCTTTTTTGGACTTCCATCCAAATACTAACCAGGCCTGACCCAGCTTAGCTTTCAAGATCAGGTACATTTGGGGTGGTAGGCCCATGTATTGTTTTTCTGTTGTAGCTGTAACAAACTACCACAAATTCAGTGGCTTAAAACAATACAAATGCATCATCTTAAAAATCTGGAGGTCAGAAAGCTAACAGGTCTCACTGGTTTAAAATAAAGATGTCGGCAGGACTACTCTAGGGATGATCCATTGTTTTGTCTTTTTCAGTTGGTAGAGGCAGTCTCTATGTGTTGTATTGTGGCGCCTTCTTCCATCTCTGTGACATTCTTCCCTTGATTCTCTCTTTATCCAGAAGGTTCTTTGAAGGATTCATGACATTAGATTGGGCCTACCTGGATAATCCAGAATAATCTCTGGATCTCAAGGTCCTCAAGATTAACTCCCATCTTCAAAGTCCCTTTATTCATGTATGGTAACAGATGCCAGGAATTAGAACAGGGATACTTGGGTGGCCATCATTCTGCCTACCATATCTGGCTTGCAGATACAGAAATATAGTTCTGCATTTATCCATGTATAATTTTCTCCTGATTTTAAAAACATATAAATGTATTTTAAACCTCAGGAAGCATATTGTCAAGTATGAACATAATTTATTAAAAATAAGTTCTAAACAAAAAATGGAAAACATTGCTATGATAATGATCCAATTAAAAAAATAGGTACTTTTCAAGATTTGTCAAAGGAAAATGCAATCATGTAAATACTAAAAGTAAATAATTTGGGGTTTTTAAAAAATGGGTTTTTTTTCAATAAACTTTTAACACAGACTATAAAATTATACTGCTACAAAGGAGGAGTAAGAATTATTTTACATACTATCTGTATCCCTAAACCAGGGTCAGCTTTCCAAACAGGTGAAATGAATGGCAGTGGGAGGCAGTTGGTGCACACTATCCCACCTACTTCTGACCCTCCACGTATTATCTGTGTTAAAAGTTCCTCCAACAGGAATCCATTCCTTAGGATTCAAATCCTCTATTAAAATGCTAGTCCCCAGAATAAAAGCTAACTACTAGCAAAAACCTTGGCCTGGATTTATTCAAAACTAGGATAACACTTGACATTTGAGGAAGGATATGCATCAGAAGAAAGCTACCAGAAGCTAGCAGTGGGCCACTGAAATAGAAAATATAGTAATCATACTTCCCCTTATTTTCCATTTTTTAATGCACCACCCTCTATCAATAGTAAGACAAGTCATGCCAGCCAGCTAGTGAAAGAGAAAATATATGGATATAGAGGTATTTTTATTAAATTAAAAAAAATTAATGTCTTGGCCAGAGAGGAGATTGACAAGGGATTCTTGATGAAATAATATGAAAGATAGATAGAATTTTAAAGAAATGAAAACAGATAGAGGCAGCCTATCATAAATCATTGATCATATTTACACCTCATTTTTATAACATTTCCTGCAGCAAACATTGTTTACTCATGATAAAAAATAACCTGAAATTAATGCCAAATGCCCAATGAAAATATTGCAAAGCAAGGACATTACTTGTAAGATTATTTCTGCTTCTGCTCAGAAGCGTTTGAAAGCTTTATATCACTTGGTGGCGTATTTCATTCTAAGCAGCCTCATCTACTTTCATCTCTGTGCTATGTATAGCATACTGAACTATCTTCATAAGATCAAAGGGAAACTCACTGTACTTTATTTACAGAGGCAAATTTAATGCGTAACCAGGGTACTTATTTTACTAAACTGACTAGTCCCTTTGAACTACTGTCTTCACTGATCCATAGACCATGCTCTAAATGTGCAGGCTTCCTTGACTCTGGAAAATGTTCTTAGCCTAATTGGGGTACTTCCTTTGAACTGCCTGCCGTGAGTTTTACTATGCTGTAAGTGCTCAACAGAGGTTGGTTCAGGAGGCATGACTGCAAAGTCCTTTAGAAAACAAAAAAATAAAAAAATAAAAAATACAACCAATACAACAAAATTGAAAGTATCTTATCTCACTATCAATAGTGAATAAGAATGACTCATTTCAAAGTACATAATTATAATATTAGTGGTTCTTACAATAACTGGTACACTTCTGTTTATCTGGCTATGAAATAAGCTATTATGCTCACTTCTGCATTGATTGAAGCAGGGAATGTACCTGCTTTGTGTGTTACATTAATACAAATATGAAAGAAAATATATGTGAAGTGACATGATGCAATGGAAAGAACATAAATTTGGGGTCTTTGCATTCCAATATGGCATTAATGAGCAGTGTGATTTTGCCCAAGTTGTTAAATGTTTCTCTCAATCTGATATTCTTCACCTTCAAAGTAGGAAGCCACATTTTGTGATAGACATCGTGCTGCTCACCAGTATTTCTGGCTCTCATGCCTTGAGCCAAAACGAAGGAATGTTATTCTCTTCCCCATTGAGTTTATGCATGATGCCATAACTTGTTTTGGGCAATGAGGTATAAGTGGAAGTAATATGTCATTTCTGGAAAGAGGCATTAATTGGCATTGTGAAACTTTACAGAAATGTCTCTTTTCTCGAACAATTTTGGAAGCATGTGTTGATATCATATAGACCTGCAAGGCTGTGCCACCAGTGAAGGACAAGTGCCTATGAGAATCACCTGTATCTGTAAATCTTCTATTTTAAGCTACTGAGATTGGCTTCTACAGGATAACCTACCTTATCCTGACTGAGCATCGCTGTAGGATTAATGCAAGTTTTAAGTGAAATAAGGTACATAAAGCACATAGCTGACTGCTTGGTAATGCTGATTAATAGGTGTTGGTTCTTTTTCTTCTTTTTCTTTAAGATCTTGTGCATTAAAAGAAAAAAGTGAATCTGCTTACAATAATATAAACTTCATAAGGTTTTCCCCTCACTCACTCCATTCTTTCCTATGACCTTGGTACCTCTCCTTCATTTTCCCCTGGCTCACAAAAACCAGCTATTATAGCCAGAGGTAAATATAAAATAAAATAAAATAAAACTTTATAAACATTTCCTCACTCCTCTTAGTGGCAGTCTCAAGAACTTGCAGATGGTTAAAATCACCTGGAATTGCATTTTTGGCCCCCAAAGCTGCAAGGGTAGCCCTCTCTGGATTATCTTCCTTCAATGCCATGACTTGTTGAGGGACTGTAATCCTGTGGTACAGGTACTGGGAATTGGTTAAGAGTATGGGCATTGCAGTTGAACTCCTTGGACACTCGTCTCTGCTTACTTCATTATGAGTTAGGGATGTTGATAAGTTAGTTTCTCTAAACTCAGCTTCACCATTCTTAGATGCAGTGCCTATTTCATAGAAATAGGCCACTTCCCAAGAACCAGAGCAGTTCTGAAGAGTATTTTCTGAAGAGTGTTTTCCATTATGTTTACCTCAGGGTCACAATTTCCCTTGGTGTAATTAGTCTGAGAATTAGCTATATATCTGTTAAACTTATTTTGGTCTTAAATAACTTTTCTTAAATTTATTTGCAGGACACAGGAAATGAAAGCATAGGTGGTCCGTTCCAAGATGGCCAGATAGGAACAGCTCCGGTCTCCAGCTCCCAGCATGATTGACACGGAAGACAGGTGATTTCTGCATTTCCAGCTGAGGTACATGGTTCATCTCATTGGGACCGGTTGGACAGTGGGTGCAGCCCATGGAGGGCAAGCCAAAGCGGGGGGGGCATCACCGCACCTGGGAAGTGCAAGGGGTCGGGGATTTCCCTTTCCTAGCCAAGGGAAGCTGTGACATACCGTACCTGGAAAAATGGGACATTCCCACCTAAATACTGCTTTTCCAATGGTTTAAGCAAATGGCACACCAGGAGATTATATCCCATGTCTGAGTCGGAGGGTCCTATGCTGGCAGAGCCTTGCTCACTGCTAGCACAGCAGTCTGAGATCAACCTGTGAGGCAGCAGCCTGGCAGGGGGAGGGGCGTCCGCCATTGCTGAGGCTTGAGTAGGTAAACAAAGCAGCCAGGGAAGCCCAAACTGGGTGGAGGACACCACAGCTCAGCAAGGCCTGCTACCTCTGTTGATTCCACCTCTGAGGGCAGGGCATAGCTGAACAAAAGGCAGCAGAAACTTTTGCAGAATTAAACGTCCCTGTCTGACAGCTCTGAAGAGAGCAGTGGTTCTCCCAGCATGGCATTTGAGCTCTGAGAATGGGCAGACTGCCTCCTCCTGACCCCGTGTAGCCTAACTGGGAGACCCCTCCCAGTAGGGGCTGACTGACACCTCATACAGGCAGGTATCCCTCTGAAACGAAGCTTCCAGAGGAAGGATCAGGCAGCAATATTTGCTGTTCTGCAATATTTGCTGTTCTGCAGCCTCCGCTGGTGATACCCAGGCAAACAGGGTCTGGAGTGGACCTCCAGCAAACTCCAACAGACCTGCAGCTGAGGGACCTGAAAGGAATACCATCAACATCAACAAAAAGGACATCAACACCAAAACCCCATCTGTAGGTCACCGACATCAAAGACCAAAGGTAGATAAAACCACAAAGACAAGGAGAAACAAGAGCAGAAAAGCTGAAAATTCTAAAAACCAGAGTGCCTCTTATCTTCCAAAGGACTGCAGCTCTTCGTCAGCGATGAAACAAAGCTGGATGGAGAATGACTTTGACGAGTTGACAGAAGGAGCCTTCAGAAGGTCGGTAATAACAAACTTCTCTGAGCTAAAGGAGGATGTTCAAACCCATCACAAGGAAGCTAAAAACCTTGAAAAAAGATTAGATAAATGGCTAACTAGAATAAACAGTGTAGAGAAGACCTTAAATGACCTGATGGAGAATGGCATGGGAAATACGTGACGCATGCACAAACTTCAGCAGCCGATTCGTTCAAGCGGAAGAAAGGGTATCAGTGATTGAAGATCAAATGAATGAAATAAATTGAGAAGAAAAGTTTAGAGAAAAAAGAGTAAAAAGAAACAAACAAAGCCTCCAAGAAATATGGGACTATGCAAAAAGACCAAATCTACTTTTGATTGGTGTATCTGAAAGTGACGGGGAGAATGGAACCAAGTTGGAAAACACTCTTCAGGATATTACCCAGGAGAACTTCCCCAACCTAGCAAGGCAGTCCAACATTCAAATTCAGGAAATACAGAGAACACCACAAAGATACTCCTCGAGAAGAGTAACCCCAAGACACATAATTGTCAGATTCAACAAGGTTGAAATGAAGGAAAAAATGTTAAGGGCGGCCAGAGAAAAGGTCAAGTTACCCACAAAGGGAAGCCCATCAGACTAACAGCAGATCTTTTGCAGAATCTCTACAAGCCAGAAGAGAGTGGGGGCCAATATTCAACATTCTTAAAGAAAAGAATTTTCAACCCAGAATTTCATATCCAACCAAACTAAGCTTCCTAAGTGAAGGAGAAATGAAATCCTTTACAGACAAGCAAATGCTGAGAGATTTTCTCACCACCAATAGGCCTGCCTTACAAGAGCTCCTGAAGGAAGCACTAAACATGGAAAGGAAAAACCGGTACCAGCCACTGCAAAAACATGCCAAATTGTAAAGACCATCGATGCTAGGAAGAAACTGCATCAACTAATGGGCAAAATAACCAGCTAACATCATAATGTCAGGATCAAATTCACACATAACAATATTAACCTTAAATGTAAATGGGCTAAATGCCCCAATTACAAGACACAGACTGGCAAATTGGATAGAGTCAAGACCCATCAGTGTGCTGTATTCAGGAGACCCACCTCACATGCAGAAACACACATAGGCTCAAAATAAAGGGATGGAGGAAGATCTACCAAGCAAATGGAAAGCAAAAAAAAAAGCAGGGGTTGCAATCCTAGTCTCTGATAAAATAGACTTTAAACCAACAAAGATCGAAAGAGACAAAGAAGGCCATTATATAATGGTAAAGGGATCAATTCAACAAGAAGAGCTAACTATCCTAAATATATATGCACTCAAAACAGGAGCACCCAGATTCATAAAGCAAGTCTTAGAGACCTACAAAGAGACTTAGACTCCCACACAATAATAATGGGAGACTTTAACACCCCAATGTCAATATTAGACAGATCAACGAGACAGAAGGTTAACAAGGATATCCAGGACTTGAACTCAGCTCTGCACCAAGAGGACCTAATAGACATCTAGAGAACTCTCCACCCCAAGTCAACAGCATATACATTCTTCTCAGCACCACATCACACTTATTCCAAAATTGACCACATATTTGGAAGTAAAGCACTCCTCAGCAAATGTAAAAGAACAGAAATCACAACAAACTGCCTCTCAGACCACAGGGCAATCAAATTAGAACTTAGGATTAAGAAACTCACTCAAAACTGCACAACTACATGGAAACTGAACAACCTGCTCCTGAATGACTACTGGGTAAATAACAAAATGAAGGCAGAAATAAAGATGTTCTTTGAAACCAATGAGAACAAAGACACAAATGTGTCCCACAATCTCTGGGACACATTTAAAGCAGTGTGTAGAGGGAAATTTATAGCACTAAATGCCCACAAGAGAAAGCAGGAAACATTTGAAATCGACACCCTAACATCATAATTAAAAGAACTAGAGAAGCAAGAGCAAATAAATTCAAAAGCCAGCAGAAGGCAAGAAATAACTAAAATCAGAGAAGAACTGAAGGAGATAGAGACAAATCCTTTAAAAAAATCAATGAATCCAGGAGCTGGTTTTTTGAAAAGATCAACAAAACTGATAGACCGCTATCAAGACTAATAAAGAAGAAAAGAGAGAAGAATCAAATAGATGCAATTTAAAAATGATAAAGGGGCTATCACCACTGATCCCACAAAAATACAAACTACCACCAGAGAATACTATAAACACCTCTATGCAAATAAACTAGAAAATCTAGAAGAAATGGATAAATTCCTGGACACATACACCATCCCAAGACTAAACCAGGAAGAAGCTGAATCTCTGAATAGACCAAAAACAGGTTCTGAAATTGAGGCAATAATTGAGAGCCTACCAACCAAAAAAAGTCCAGGACCAGATGGCTTCACAGCCGAATTCTACCAGAGGTACAAGGAGGAACTGGTACCATTCCTTCTGAAACTATTCCAATCAATAGAAAAAGAGGGAATCCTCCCTAACTCATTTTATGAGGCCAGCATCATCCTGATACCAAAGCCTGGCAGAGACACAACAAAGAAAGAGAATTTTAGACCAATATCCCTCATGAACATCGATGCAAAAATCCTCAATAAAATACCAGCAAACTGAATCCAGCAGCACATCAAAAAGCTTATCCACCATGATCAAGTAGGCTTCATCCCTGGGATGCAAGTCTGGTTCAACATATGCAAATCAATAAACGTAATCCATCACATAAACAGAATCAATGACAGAAACGACATGATTATCTCAATAGATGCAGAAAAGGCCTTTGACAAAATTCAACAGCCCTTCATGCTAAAAACTTTCAATAAACTAAGTACTGATGGAACGTATCTCAAAATAATAAGAGCTATTTATGACAAACCCACAGCCAATATCATACTGAATGGGCAAAAACTGGAATCATTCCCTTTGAAAACTGGCACAAGACAGGGATGCCCTCTGTCACCACTGCTATTCAACATAGTGTTGGAAGTTCTGGCCAGGGCAATCAGGCAGGAGAAAGAAATAAACGGTATTCAATTAAGAAAAGAGGAAGTCAAATTGTCCCTGTTTGCAGATGACATGATTGTATATTTAGAAAACCCCATCATCTCAGCCCAAAAATCTCCTTAAGCTGATAAGCAACTTCAGCAAAGTCTCAGGATATGAAATCAATGTGCAAAAATCACAAGCATTCCTATACACCAATAACAGACAAACAACCAAATCATGAGTAAACCCCCATTCAGAATTGCTACAAAGAGAATAAAATACCTAGGAATCCAACTTACAAGGGATGTGAATGACCTCTTTAAGGAGACTGCAAACCACTGCTCGAAGATATAAAGGAGGACACAAACAAATGGAAGAATATTCCATGGTCATGGATAGGGAGAATCAATATGAAAATGGCCATACTTCCCAAGGTAATTTATAGATTCAATGCCATCCCCATCAAGCTGCCAGTGAATTTCTTAACAGAATTGGAAAAAACTACTTTAAATTTCATATGGAACCAAAAAAGAGCTTGTATTGCCAAGTCAATACCTAAGCAAAAAGAACAAAGCTGGAGGCATCATGCCACCTGAGTTCAAACTATACTACAAGGCTACAGTAACCAAAACAGCATGGTACTGGTACCAAAACAGAGATATAGACCAATGGAACAGAATAGAGGCCTCAGAAATAACAACACACATCTACAACCATCTGATCTTTGACAATCCTGACAAAAAGAAGAAATGGGGAAAGGATTCCCTATTTAATAAATGGTGCTGGGAAAACTGGCTATCCATATATAGAAAGCTGAAACTGGATCCCTTCCTTATACCTTATACAAAAATTAATTCAAGATGGATTAAAGACTTAAATGTTAGACCTAAAACCATAAAAACCCTAGAAGAAAACCTAGGCAATACCATTCAGGACATAGGCATGGGCAAGGGCTTCAAGACTAAAACACCAAAAGCAATGGCAACAAAAGCCAGAATTGACAAATGGGATCTAATTAAACTAAAGAGCTCTGCACAGCAAAAGAAACTACCATCAGAGTGAACAGGCAACCTACAGAACGGGAGAAAAGTTTTGCAATCTACTCATCTGACAAAGGGCTAATATCCAGAATCTACAAAGAACTTTAAAAAATTTACAAGAAAAAAACAAACAACCCCATCAAAAAGTGGGCGAAGGATATGAACAGACACACTTCTCAAAAGAAGACATTTATGCAGCCTCAGACACATGAAAAAATGCTCATCAGCACTGGTCATCAGAGAAATGCAAATCAAAACCACAATGAGATACCATCTCACACCAGTTAGAATGGTGATCATTAAAAAGTCAGGAAACAACAGATGCTGGAGAGGAGGTGGAGAAATGGGAACACTTTTATACAGTTGGTGGGAGTGTAAACTAGTTCAACCATTGTGGAAGACACTGTCGCGATTCCTCAAGGATCTAGAACTAGAAATACCATTTGACCCAGCAATCCCATTACTGGGTATATACCCCAAGGATTATAAATCATGCTACTATAAAGACACATGCACACGTATGTTTATTGCGGCACTACTCACAATAGCAAAGACTTGGAACCAATCCAAGTGTCTATCAATGATAGACTGGATTAAGAAAATGTGGCACATACACACCATGGAATACTATAAAGCCATAAAAAGGATGAGTTAATGTTCTTTGCAGGGACATGGATGAAGCTGGAACCATCATTCTGAGCAAACTATCACAAGGACAGAAAACCAAACACTGCATGTTCTCACTCATAGGTGGGAACTAAACAATGAGAACACCTGGACACAGGTCGGGGAACATCATACACTGGGGCCTGTCTTGGGGTGGGTGGCTGGAGGAGGGATAGCATCAGGAGAAATATCTAATGTTAAGTGACGAGTTGACAGGTGCAGCAAACCAACATGGCACATCTATAGCTATGTAACAAACCTGCACGTTGTGCACATGTACCCTAGAACTTAAAGTATAATTTAAAAAAATAAAAAAGAAGCTGAAAAATTAAGACTCAGGAAAGGAAAAAGAATTGTGCCAGATCCCAGTGTTGGCAGCAGAACTACAACTAGAATTTAAGTTGTCTGACTTCTGATATAGCATACTACATTCGCACCATGTAGAGCTACCCATGTGCAGTGCAAAACCTGAGCATATTTTAGCAATAACATTTAAATGAAAAAAAAAAGAAAATGAAAGCATATAGAAATAGTACAAATTTTCCAGTTCAGTGAATGCAAGAAATGGTCCTGAACATACATAATAGCATTAAGAGCTAACATATATAGATCGCTGACTGTGTGCCAGGCACTGTGCTAAGCACTTTCCAAGCACCCTTTATGTAATCTTCTTCACAATTCTATGAAATACGTACTGTATCTAAGAATGATGAAGTTGAGTTTGAGAAACAAACTCAACATCCCTAGCTCATAATGAAGTAAGCAGAGATGACTGTCCAAGGAGTTCAACTGCAATGCCCATACTCTTAACCAATTCCCAGTACCTGTACCACAGGATTACAGTCTCTCATCAAACCATCCTATAAATTATCAAGTTATATGGGTTACCGATTTATATAAGCAGATCATTCTAAATTGATTTCTTATATACTAAGCTGCATTCTTCAATTCCCGCTGATTAAAGTGACCACATTTCTCCCTATAAATGGAAAGCCCACATTTACATACAGGAAAAAGAATATTTGTACCTGTAAATTTAAAGGAAAGCAGAGGGATTACCTGAAAATCAAAAGATATAAAAGGGAATACCTTTATTTTCTCTTTGTCAGCTGGGACTCAAGTAGCAATTATTTGTTTACTATCTTCTTGGGTTATTTACAGAAAATATTTACATGGAGGTATTTCTGAAACATATTTATTGAATTATTGAATATGGCTGTATAGAATACAGACACCATACCAGGAATTTTATGAAATGCAAAGGTCTGATCTTTGCCTTGCCAAACCCAGCTTCAGAAGACAAATGGTTGAAATGTATGCCAGACTTGATTGTTGTTGTGGAGCTATGGTCACCTGATGTGATGGGAAAGGGAATAATGCTGCTTCAGTTTTCCTGGTAGAATGCTTCAATTTCACTCGACATTCAAGTTAATTAAAAGTGTTATGAAAAATTATCTCTAGTGCCTCATGTTCTCATTCCTCTCATAAGAGAAAAGGAAAGAGAAGACATTCATTACTCTAACTATAAATGTACCCTATTTTTTGTGTAAGGAGGGTGCTTAGGGTACTTCAGAAATTCTGAGACAGAAAGGAAATATTATGTAAAATGAACTGAGAGAGCAGAATAGAATAAAAAAGCAAATGAATAGTTATAAATAGAGTTTTCCATATTAGGAAAAAATATTTTAAAATGCCAAATAGCTTCATCGTTTTCTCCCATCCTCTTTATTTCTACCACCATTTGCACATATATGTTTCTGGTATTTCTACGTATATGTATGAAGAATAAGGGCTATTCAATTTGTAAATATCGGCATTCATGGAAATTTACTAGATTGGAATTTCTTGATCATTTGTCATCTACTGAAGTCTCCCTTCTAAAACACTCTCAGTTCTACAGAGACAAGCAGTTTTATATGGGGGAAATATCTGAGGCTAAACTGGGCCACATAGTTTCATATAACATGAATAAATAAATGTTCATATACATATAAGTATATGCACAGAATCAAAAAGAATTTGAGAAGACATCTGCTTCATAGCATACCTCTAGGTAGGGAAGTCTTGAAATTATCAAAGGCAGACAATTACCTAAGGAGTTTTGCTTGACTGACCAAAAATTTGCTGCAGGGAGAACAGCTAGATATAGAGTGACAAGTAAACTGAGATTTCCTCAGACAACAACTTTAAAACTTAACTTCATTCAAGTTTTATAAATTATCACACTATCACCTGCTGGTTTTAACAACTGAAAAAGGCAAAAACTTATATGAGGATTTTGAAAAAAAGATATACTAGCTCTCATTTTAAATACCCTTCCCCCAACCCAACAGAAATAACCTGCATTTCCATGTAGTTGTACCAACAAATGCATACACACATATTCTCTCTCGTTTTTCCCCCACTCCCCCCAACACACAGTTTTTGTTTGTTTACTATTTTGCAAAAGTTAAGTAATATAAATATGCAATTTGTTTTTTTTCTTTAATAATACATCACATGCATCCTTCTGGGTCAATAGATATAAACAGAATTCACACTTTTGACTAACTGTGTTATGTGGATTAATTAAAATGTGTTTACCCATTCCTCTATTAATGACATTCAAATTTTTAATAGTTTTTGACCATTAAAAAGTTTCAATAAATATTCTCATGTGCAAATATTTATGAACTATTTTATGTTTACTTATTTCTATGCAATAAATCCTTTGAAATAATATCAGCCTAATAACTATCTTGTATAATAAAAATTCCTAATATTCATTTCAGCTCCTTGGAACCCACAGCTCTAAGTCAATTCACCTATAGCTAGTTGGCCTATCAGTATTTCCCTTAATGATCAATTGGTCTAAAACAAGGTCAGATTAAGTACATGGTATACCATGTAAGTTCATTATTTGATTTCTCCTCTTTAAATATTTGTTCAATATTAATGTAGTGGAAAGTTTATTTTCTACTAATGATAACTAAATACCAACTTTATGTTCAAAACACGTATTACATGTCCTAAATATCACAAAGCATCTTAGTTTTTTGTAACTCTTTTTCATTTATAAATTATTTTGTCCATCATTCTTTTAATTTTATTTTCCTTTCATTGTGAAAGAATAGTCCCCAAATTATCAACTCATCAGGAGGTGTTTTAAAGGTATTTAAATTAAGATAATAAAATAAATCACTTGTTTCCAGACATATTGTACGTCTGCAGAAATAGGAGACAGAGAATTAAAATGGAAGGAAGACATAAAAATAACAAGTAAGTTCAAAAATCTGTGACTTATTAATGTTGGAAATAAAGTGGAGTAAAATATAACAGAGTACACTGTTTAGTTCTTGGGTTCTTGCTGTTTGTACACATATATACACATATTGGCATATGATTTAGAAAAAAAATTATTGAAATCATCATGCACAAGGCACTACGCTAGATGACATGGAGTACCATATAACTTAGAAGACATAGTCCCAACCCCATATTTGTGTTATACACATATAGGTAAACCTCTGCCTCCCATGGTGATGATTTATTTTAGTGTCAGTCAGCTGCTCTTCAAAAAAGAACACATTATACATCTTCCATTTTATGCTTCTCTGATCACTTTGCCATTAACATTCTGTTTTTTGCTACCTAAAAGTCTTCTGATTTCTATCATAGAGTTTGTCTTTTAATGAGCAAGCATGGACATATTTTAATACTTTATATATACAGGCTATATTATGTAATATGAGGACAACTGTGTTTCAAGTGGATGTAAATCATAATTTTGGCCTAAGCCACAGAGGTAAATAATTTCTAGGTGACAAAGATATTAGACAGGAAATGGCCACCTATTCCTTCACTATAGAATATATTACTTTGTTAGGAGCATATCTCCAAAAGACCTTTGCTATAATGCTTCCACTGGAGTGAATTGTTATAGCATTCCCATTCCAATGAATTCATCCTCATTCTAAATGCTTTGAAGTTTCTGAATACAGTAAGAAAAAATGAAACTATATTTCACTTCTGCTGTGGCTGCAAAAACCCAGTATAGGCAACTCCTCCTGATGACAACTTAAAACGCTGGACAAAATACTACCTGAGGACTCTGCAAAGCAAGACAGATTGTGGAGGTGAGCCAGAAATTGCTAAAGCAATCCAAATTGGGTGGGTGGTGAGTCCTTCACCTTTGTTTCTTTTCTCTTGATAGAGAAACAGTAATCAATTAATTTCTCTTCAGAAACCATGGAAGCTGGGAAACAGTAGAAGAAGGTCTTGAAGATGCTGAAAGAAAAAAGCTGTCAGCAAAAAATTCTTTATCCAAGGAAAATATCCATCAGGAGGGAAAATATAGAAATTTTCATATGA
Organism: Homo sapiens; assembly: GCF_000001405.40. Lineage (NCBI taxonomy): Eukaryota > Metazoa > Chordata > Mammalia > Primates > Hominidae > Homo > Homo sapiens. The sequence goes on from NC_000007.14 coordinate 120,910,898, forward strand.
AAGAAAATTGATAATTTTATTTAGCAGACTTGTTCTAAAGGAATACCAGATGAAATTCTTCCAGCTGAAGAGAAATGATACCAGAAGAAACTTGGATATTGAGGAATGAAGGAAGAGTAAGAAAAATGGTAAATATGTGGTTAAATAGAAAAAAACAGTATTTTTTTTCACTTAACTTCTTTAAAATATAGTAAATATTGAAAGCAAAAATTATAACATTCTTTGATGGAGTTTTCTGTGTATGTAGGCATAATATATATGACAGTTACAGCATAAAGGTCTTGGAGTGAAATAAAAAGATTGATACAGTAGCAAAGCTTTTACATTTTACTTAAAATAGTGCAATGTTGACTCTAATTATATTATAAAATGGAAGTATCTATAGTATAATACCTAAAGGAACCAGTAAAAAATAATGCAAATATACCTAAAAATCTAATGTATAAATTAAAATGAAATACCAAACAATAGTAAAATAATCCAACAGAAGGCAAGAAAATAGAAAGAGGCTCTAAAATAGAGGACAAGCAAAACAAATAATAAAGTGGTAGATTTCAACTATTTCAGTTAATGCATTAAATATAATGGTATATATACAAAAAATCAGAGACTGGATTAAACAAAAACAACATACATCCATATGCTATTAAAAAACCCTCCTTAAGTATACAAATATAACTAGGATCAATGGTTATATTACTTTAACACAAAGTAGACTTTTGACAAATAATTTTACCAGAGATAAATAGCAACATTACCTCCTGATAATGGGGTCATACCTATACACTGATGTGTATGTTAAGTACTTAAATGTGTATGCACTTAACATCAGAGTTTCAGGTTACATGAAGCTCATATTTTACAGATAAAACATTTCCCAAAAGATTGAATCTTCTGGGTGAAAAAATAACAGATTTAAAAAAGCAAAATCAGCTGGGCACAGTGGCTCACACCTGTAATCCCAGCACTTTGGGAGGCCCAGGCGGGTGGATCACGAGGTCAGGAGTTCAAGACCATCCTGGCTAACACGGTGAAACACCGTCTCTACTAAAAATACAAAAAAAAAAAAAAAAAAAAAAAAAAAAATTAGCCGGGCATGGTGGTGGGCGCCTGTAAGTCCCAGCTACTTAGGAGGCTAAGGCAGGAGAATGGCGTGAACCCGGGAGGCGGAGCTTGCAGTGAGCCCGGATCGTGACACTACACTTCAGCCCAGGAGACAGTGAGACTCCATCTCAAAAACAAAACAAAACAAAAAAAAAGAAGCAAATCATACAATTCTTACTGTAACAATTAAACTAGAAATAAGTAACAGAAATAATTAAACTGGAAAACAAATATGTGGAAATTAAACAACACACCTTTAAATAACCAATACATCAAAGAAGTCACAAGGGAAATTAAAAAAATACTGTAAATTGATTGAACATAAAAATATAACATATCAAAATTTGCGGGATGCTGTTACAGCTGTGCTTAAAGGGAAATTTACAGCATTAATCCATACATTATGAAAGAAGAAAAGTCGCAAATTTAGGATCTAAGCAAAAACCTCAGAAAACTCTTAAAATTAGAACAAGTTTAAACCAAAGTATGTGGAAAAAGAATACAAAAAATAGAGTGGAAATACATAAACAGAAAAATAATTGAATAAAATCAATGTAACCAACAAAGTTTTTGTGAAGATCAATATGATTTATAACCTCTGGTAGGACTGACCAACACACACACACATACACACACACACACACACACAATTTATCAATATCAAGAACAATAAAAGAAGAATCATTACAGATTTTACAGACACAAAACGTATTATAAAGAAGCATTATGGGCTGGGTGCAGTGGCTCATGCCTGTAATCCCAGCACTTTGGGAGGCTGAGGCGGGTGGATCACGAGGTCAGGAGATCAAGACCATCCTGGCTAACATGGTGAAACCCCATCTCTACTAAAATACAAAAGAAATTAGCCGGGTGTGCTGGTGGGCACCTGTAGTCCCAGCTACTCGGGAGGCTGAGGCAGGAGAATGGCATGAACCCAGGAGGTGGAGCTTGCAGTGTGCCAAGATTGCGCCACTGCACTCCAGCCTGGGTGACTGAGCAAGACTCCGTCTCAAAAAAAAAAGCATTATGAACAATGCAATGCTCATAAATGCAATAACTTAGGTGAAGTAAATGTATTATTTTAAAAAGAACTTTCAAAATTCACTCAAGAAGAAATAGATAACCTGAATAGTCCTACATATATGGAAGAAATTGAATTTTTAGTTTAAAACCTTCCAGTAAAGAAAACTGTAAGCTCAGATGGCATCACTGCTGAATTCTACAAAACATTTAAGGAAAAAAAACCACACACACCAAATCTACGCAAGCTCTCTCAGAAAATAGGAGAACAATTTTCCAACTTATTTTATGAGGTTAACATTATTACACTAAGTCTAGCTAAAGATATCATGACAAAGAAAACATCAAATCAATATTCCTCATGAATATATATTCAAAACTCATAATTTGTATTCAACAATAGAAATAAGTGATAATACTTAATAACCAAGTTGGGTTTACCTAAGAAGCAAGGCTGGTTCAAAATTTGAAAATCAAACAGTGGAATACATATTATCAATAAATAGACTGAAGAAGAAAAACTATATGTTAATCATATTCAATGCAGAAAAAATATTTGATAAAAATTCCACATTAATAAGAATTCTAAAAAAACTAAAAATACAGAAAACCTCATTAAGCTTACCAAAGGCACCTACAAAAAAGCTTCAGTTAATATAATTCTTAATGGTGAAAAATTAAATGCTGTCCTCTAATATTAGGAGCAAGGCAAGAATAATCTTACTCCTATTAAATATTGTATTGGAGGTCCTATTCATTTCAATGAGAAAAAAGATTAAGGTAATTTGAAAAGGAGGAAATAAAACTGTCTTTATTTGCCTGATTTATAGGACTGTCTATGTAGAAAATCCCCAAAAAATCTACCACAAGAAAAAATAATTCTCCTATAACTAATAAGTGAGTTTAGCAAGAATATAGGATACAAAGTAAATTGTATGTCTATATACAATCAACAAACAATTGGAAATTGAATTTTTTAAAAAATTAAAAGTACCTTTACAATAGTGTCACAGAACATAATGCACTTTCTAACAAAAGGTGTTCAAGATCCATTAGACAAAAATAGTAAAATGATGATGACAGAAATCAAAGACCCTAATAAATGGAGAGATATACCATGTTCATGGTTTAGAAGACTCAGTATTTTCAAGATGCCAATTTTCTCTTGTACTGCTTTATAGCTTCAATGCAGTTCTAATTAAAATCCCAGCAGATTTATATTTGTAGAAACTGATAAGCTGATTTTACAACTTACATGGAAAGACAAAGGAACCAGAATCACCAAAGAGTTTTGGAAAAACAAACAGCTGGAAGACACTAATTGCCTGAATTTAAGTAATCAAAACAGTGAGATATTGGTGAACGGATAGACATATATGTTAATGGAATAAAATTGAGAGCCCAAAAATAGATCTACAAAAGTGACAAATAAATTGATGGAGAAAAGGTAGTCGTTCAACAAACAGAGCTGGAACAACTTGACATCAATATGTAAGAAAATGAAACTTGGCTCATTCCTCATGTCTTATAAAAAAGTTATGACAGCCAATCGAAAAACTTGAAAGGTAAAACCTACAAGAAAACATAGAAGAAAACCTTTGTGATCTTGGATAAGGTAAAGATTTCTTAGATATGACATCAAAGCACTATACATAAAGACAAAAATGTTGAATTTAAATTTATGCAATTTAAAACTACCTGCTCTATGAAAGAGAACTCAAAAGACTGACAAAAGCTGCAAAGTGGGAGAAAATATTTGCAAAACACATATATAACAAATAACTTCTATCAAAAATATACTAAAAACTTACAAGTCTCAATAATAAAAAGTAATCTATTTTTTCAGTGCCAAAGATTTGACATACACTTCATTGAAAAGATATGGAGATGACAAATAAGCTCATGGAATGGTTGTCAACATCATTGTCATTAGGAAAATGCCAATTAAATTCACGATGAGATACTGTCCACTTCTTAGCATGGCTAAAAATTTAAAATAACAGTATCAGGTGTTGGCCAGAATGGAAGCAACTGGAACTCTCATGTATTGCTGGAGAGAACACAAAATGATACAACCATTTTGGAAAACATGTTGACAGATTTTTATGTACTTAATCATACAGTTAACATATAATCAAACAGTTCCAGTCCCAGCAATCCTGCCCCTGCAAAATGAATACTCTACCAAATATTTCTAGAAGTTTTATGTATAATTGCCAAAAGTTGGAAAAAACCTATATGACCTTCAGCTGATGAATGGGTTAATAAACTGTGGTACATCCATCAGTAGAATATTTCTCAGCTATTAAAATAAATACACTCCTGATATACACAAAAACACTAATGAATCTCAAATTCATTTTGCTAAGTAAAAATAATTTGACTCAAAAAGTTGTATCATGTCTGATTCCATTTTTATGATATCCTGAAAATGTCATAAAACTGAAGAGAAAACAAATCAGTCATAGGTTGGGTATGCCAGGGGCTGTGTATGGAGAGGGCAGATGATGACAAAAGGGGCATAAGCAAGTTTTGAGAAATGATGGGCCAGTTGATTGTGGTGTATTTTTTGAAACACAAAAGCAATGATTTGCACTGTATGTAAGTTATAAGGCAATAAAAAGTAAACATTACCAAGAAAAAGAAAAATGTTTTCTAGTAACTACAAAACATATTGCAGTTGAATCAAATGTATTAACTCTATAAAAACCTGATGCATTAATTTTTATGGATTTCCCTAAGGTACAAGATGTAACTATAGTTTGGGGCAGAATATTTTCTGGCATTTCATCCACAAATGTCTACATAAACATGATATAAGGCCCATATGTCTGCCTCTTAAAAATGTATGCTTTGTGTGACGTAAGCAGAAAGTTGAATGGATAGGTTGGCAGCTGTTAGCATTTGTTCAGTTTTCATTATCTGATGTACATGGGAAATAAATCTTTTGCCAGAAGTAGCAAAATGGTTCAAGTTTTGCTAATTCATTTAAATAATATTTTTTGAACTGGAAAGAGCAAGCAGAGTTTTCTCATCATTTTTAAAATAAGGGAATTAATTTAAAATTGTACTTAAATTAAGCGTATTAATTTCAATGACATAAAATTTTAATATTTCAGGAGAAACTATATAAAATACAAATCATTGCTACAAAAAAGGACTTGTTTTATAAACCTGTTTGGAAAATAGTGGCATTACTTGAAAAGAGAAGGCAGCATGAAATGAAGCCGTTAAGAACAGACATTCATTAGATTTCTGAAATTTTTGACTCCCCTTCTCTCCTTCCTAAACTGACTATGTGAGGCCCGTTGCCAACCTGGGCCTCAATCCATAAAAATACAGAGCAGATAATATCAAATCCTGTCCTACATAACATTTTTCTACCAAAGCATGCTTTAAAATATGTTAATGACCTCTCACAGTGATGTTATTTAAAATAGTACGTAGAAATATATTAATCTGTTTCTTTTCTGATAATGTTCTTAAGCAATGTATGAATGAATTAACTTGGATAAATAAAAGAAAATATCCTTAGCATATAGATGTATCCATTATTTATTTCCAGTCATGATGCTAGAAAGTTTCATCATTTATTACAAATAAATATAGATCTAATTAATTATCATGAATCTGTCTTTACATTAGCAAATTGATTCAAAGGGAACTACACCAAAATCTAGGATATGTGATAAAACGCAATTTCTTATAGAAATTGAGCTTATTCATCAAATTTTAATTTCTCTAAAAATAAATTTTTTTAAATGTTAATTCTTATTTTATGACTTTTTAAGCCTATATTTACCTATTTCTATTTAGCAACAATCTTTTAATTGAGAAAAGAACATGATATATACAATATGAGGAAATAAATCTTCAAGAGACAGCTGGGAATGTTATCTGATATAGATATTCTATACTGTGTAACTGTTTTATGTTCAACAACCACATAGTGTAAATAGCATAGATGTAAGTGAATGAATGAGTGACTTACTAACACCTCGTTAATTACAGAGAAGGGTCTCTTATTTAGCAGCATCTGAAAATTAGATCTGAGTAACATGCAGCTCATTTAAGTATATGGAGTCTGTGGAACATCTCAGTCTCTCAATGCTACGTAAATCCTAATACAGTAGTGAAGCCTGGAGGTATTCCCCTCAACACGGGTTGTGAAGGGACGATGCTCATATTGTAAATACAATACTTCAGATTTAGCCCTCACATTCAAACCCCACTCAAGCACAATGTTATGGTCTCAGATCGTTGCAAGTGGTGGAAAATGGTGAAATAAGCTAGCAAAATTAAATGTAATAAAACAGTATGTTCTTCTAAGTGGCATGGCTCTCTGCTGGATGGAGGTATGGAAGTCATAATTGAATGTCCTGGTGGCATCTATTTTTCTTCTCAGAAATATCATATACCACAGGAAATTGGAAATGAAGGGAAATGGGAAGGGTGACGCAGAGGTGGAGGTGCCTTGGGAAGCAAAGCCATTCAGACACACTCTCACTGGAGGAGTGACCGAAGAATGAGAGATAATGCATCCAGTTTAGCTGGATGAAGGTGTCTCCCACCTTACCAGTGTTCTGTTGAAGGTTTGAACAACATACTCTCAAGAAGGAGGAAGAGAATCATTTGTGACACTATCTCTCCCTCACCAAAGGTTCCAAAGCTATAATGCTGCCTGAATGATACCTTAGGCCAACATAGGAGTCAGTTCCCTGCCTCTGTCCAAGGATGAAAACCAAGAACTAAAACTCTATCTAAAGCTACTTCATGTACTTTTTTCTTTTCTTTTCTTCTTCTTTTTTTTTTTTTTTTTAGAGGGAGTTTCACTGTTGTTGCCCAAGGTGGAGTACAATGGTGCAATCTTCACTCACTGCAATCTCCGCCTCCTGGGTTCAAGCAATTCTCCTGCTTCAGCCTCCCGAGTAGCTGGGATAACAGATGCGCACCATCACGCCAAGCTAATTTTTTGTATTTTTAGTAGAAACAGGGTTTCACCAGGTTAGCCAGGCTGCTCTCGAACTCTTGACCTCAGGTGATCTGATCGGCCCGCCTTGGCCTCCCAAAGTGCTGGGATTACAGGCGTGAGCCACCGCACCCGGCCCTTCATGCGTTCCTAATCCTGAAAGTAGACAATCATCTTCCTACAAGAGATTTTTTTATTACAATTAGGGCTGAGACAAAAGATTGTATTTTTGAAAAGGTGGGCTGAAAAGTAAATTGAACTGAACTTGTGGAACATTTCTCAGGGAAACTTATTGATAGGAACTTCTATGAGACTTTCCATGGAGAATTAGGGATTGGAGTGCAAAGAAGGGCTCCTGTCAGAGGGAGTGAAGAGTTCACCTTGGTTGACTAGTTCACTTTTGTAGAAAAGCAAATAATTGAGTGAACAGGTTTCTTTAGTATTTTTCGATTGGTCTCCTCATCCTCAGAAAGGTTCAGTTGCATACAAGAATTGAAGGGAGAAGAAATTTCTGACAGAAAATTGTGTGTTCACATAGTACATCAGAGACCAAATTTGGAGAAACTTTACTACCCATTATCTAAAGCCCCAAGGAAACTTGAGAGAGGCTCACTTTAGGTTTAGGAATAATGGAAAGGACAAACTCTATAGCTGTCCTTTATATTTATCTTTTTGAAACACACACTCCAGTCATAGAACATGGGTGCAGATCCAGGTAACTTGCGCAGGTTATGCTACCTCTGGCAAGACCAACGAGCAAATGGGAAAGCTGCTCTATATGAAATGTTGCTGTTGGAGAACCAACCTGCAAATAACCCTATGCTGGACATAATCAGGCACCCCCACAAATAGTTCCTTCTCCAGCAGGGTTTTAATAATGTTAATTCAATGCTGTGGTTCCCCTGTAGCATTTTATGGTATGGAAAGTCTTTATATTTGAGGTCCAATTAGACATAAATATGGCCATAAGAAGCTAGGCTCTTTAACTTTAGCTAGATCTGTTATCAAATTTACTCACCTCAGGCTGGGGAAATATTGAAGTTGCATTTTACAGGACATCTTGGCCTTTATTAACTATTTTTAAAACGGCAGGATCCTTCTCAAAATGGCTAAAACCATGAGGCTTAAAGAATTGCCATCAACTGTTTGGCTTTGACCAAGGAAAATGCATTATTTATCTTTCTGTCACCTTTTTAGCTGTGACAACAAATAAAGTGTGTGAGTGTGTGTGTGTGTGTGCGTGTGGGTATGATAGAGAGACAGAAATGGAGATGGGGAGTGGGGGTGACTGGGATAGTGAAGGGCTGTAACAGTGTATGCATATTGTCTGGCTATTTGTAGTTTGATGTGTCTGTGCATCTGAAACCTATGCAGATGTGGGAGGAGAGAGGAAACTGTAGTTGAGGTGGGCAGTATAAAGTTATGAAAAATAAAATTTTTGAAACTATACTAGTAGTTTCCTAACTATAGAGGTCATATGTTTAAAAATTCCTATGTGAGAAAAGGTATAGTGAAGAAAAATAAAATGGAGTAATTGAAATAAAAAATTAACCAATTAAAGCTTTTATACTTTTATGTTCACTACACAAAGCAGAAAAGAAACTATTAGGCTCCCTCTCTTCACTGCAGTCTCAAAAAGATGCATGCACAGCTGTTGCATCAAGTTGAGGATTAGGTAAAAGTCAATGCAATGTTTATAGAGTCTGAGTCCATGAGGTCCAGGGTCAGCTTAGCCATGCAGCCAGACAAAACCACCAATAAAGCTATTTTTAAATAATTTAAGTTCATATGGACTTTTAAAAGTCCATGAAGAAGACATATATCTACTGCAATACTTAAAATCCTCCTTTTCTCTTTCATCAGCTTCTCTCTCATATGGTAACTTCTGTGCCTCTCTCTTCAAACTGTATCTGATAAACTTTCATGAAAGTTTTAGTCCTTAAACCCTGCTAGTATGCAAATTGTTCTCTTTCTGCCCATATTCCTTCTTCTAATATGCATCATGAAAGCCTCAAAGACCAATCAAGCAAGACAGGACATTATTTGGGAACCAGTATGGGTGGAAAAATACACTAGATAAAGCCAGAATTTAGTTTAGTAGATAGGAAGAGAAAATAGGTCAGTATCATTTATTGTTTAATAAATTTGCCATCTCACATTCCAACTTTTTGTTTTTTCTTTATCCAAATGCTTAATGTCTTTCTGATTTGATGACGTAGACATGCTGACATCTACATGCCAATTCCTTCCTTCCTGTATCCATGCCCTTATATCCCTAGTTCGTGTTCATCAACTTCTTTGGTACATGAGAAAGCTCATTCATGTCACTTCTAGGGACTAAGTTTTCTTCCTTTAAACATGGCTTATCTTTTCCAAATCTTAACTGCAAATTAAAGTATTTTTTCTTGCTATTTTATTTACTTCCCTTTTCTATTCCTAACCCTAGTTCTTTCTTCTTTAGCAATCAACAAGAGTGATTTGAAAAGTCACATATACTAGAATTCCAAATTGAACAATTAACACAGATACATACATAAATAAATTAACAAATTATCAAGTTTTGCCAAAGGAGAACTTCTTCTTGGGAAAAGACTACTATATTTCCAAGACTACCTTAGCTGCTACAATAAACTTTTTAACACAAAGATTATGTTTTGTTGAAGGCATAACTGCATACTTAAAATTGGGTGGTACAATTTGCTATGTGTTTCTTCTGCCCAGTGATCGCAAATGCCCCCTTTTACTTTACTGCAACAGCTGCTTCAACATCCTGTTCACAGTAGTGTTGGGTTGCATCAAGGATCACTGAAATGCCAGAAGATTGGCTGTGGTCCAGAATCTTGGTGGCGGTGATATTATCTGGTCATTTTAGATAAAGTATGCTTTCAATTGATGGTGATGAAATATATTATGAATAAGATACAGTAATTATAACAGATGAGATCTCACAAATATGCAATAGGCCATAATCTGCCACTATTCTTTAAGCCTTTAGTTTGGTTAGAAATCTGAAGCCAATATCATAGACTACTCTGCCTTCCAACCTAACCAATTTTGATTTACTGTTGCATTGAGTGCATTATTTCACAATGTGTGCTACCTAAGTGTGTGTGTAGCAATAGCTTTAATTCTAGTTTGGCTGATAGAAATAGTCAATGCATGTCATATGTCCATAGCAAAATGTTAAAAAATGCTACATTAACCCTTCCAAGCAGTCGTTTAATGCTAAATGGAATAGCCAGAACCAGTTTTTGCATGCATGTTGCCATGCTTTGTGTCACATGCCCCCAGAAACCCAACCGAACCACATTGGGGCATGTAAAGATCAATGCCTGACCACAGAAGACCTGGCCCAACAACTTCTAATGACTGCTGATTAGAGAAGCTGTCGTGGGTAGAGAGTAAACATGATCATGTGATTCTCTTTTTCAGACTATGAATGCAACAAAGAGGCTGCATTTCTTTTTTTAAAAATAAACAAATAAACAAAACACAGAAGCAAACTTTGGTGCTGTAAAAGTGAAGGAGACAAAACATTGAGAAGAATAGGACCACAGAGTCAAAGTTCGGATAAAGACTTGGCTACAAGGAGGAAGGAACAAGGAGGTGGCCACAGACTAAGGTTCCTTGACTGGCCTTCCTAGGATTACAGTTTAAATTCATGGAAAATATAGATTTTATGTTACGAAGCACATTTATCATGCAAGATCTGTGGTGTTGACATATGAAAAGCTGTTGTTTTTTCCAAATAATAAAGAAAGAAGTAGAAAAAAAACTCTAGCAAGCTTCTGAAAATGAAATATTTACATATCATTTGCATTTTTTCTGGTAAAATATACATAACCTAAAGTTTATCATTTTAACCATTTTTAAATGTACAATTTAATGGCATTAAGTATATTCACAATGTTGTGAAAATTAAAGAGGGTCAGGGCAGAGTAGGGCAAGGTTGGTTTGAAAACCTCCTCACCATAATTTTTATTGTTTTACAACCAGGATTTTTGCTATTAGGCATGATTTAAAAGTGCTACCTAAAAAAAAACTTGTGGTAATTAAGCCACTTATTTATTACTTGGCCTGTGGCCTATTCTTATCAAACCAGAAGTTAAATTTACTTTCTGTGAGCCTAAGGCTATACTGGAAAATACAGTTCTTGTTCAAAACAGCTTAATTCATATATATTTTAACAACCTAGAAATACATACATATAGTCATTCTCTTTCTGGTTACAGACACACCTACACATTCAGAAAAAAAGTTTAAACTCAGGGTTTTTAAAAAATTTTCACCAATTGGTGTTTCATTTTAAAAAAACAAGTACCTTTTAATTGTTTGATAGAAAGACATCTTTTGAATAATCAACCACAATAGGAGAATCTGAGATATTTGAACACCATTTTAATTCAAAAAACTATGCTTTTTTAAATCACAGTGCTAGGGGCTCTTTTGAGAGACTAAATCCTGAATCTATAAAATAAAGATAACTGCATATGTTAAAACAGAGTTACTAACATTTACTCATATTCAAATTTCAGTGTCTATTCAATACCTCAGACCAGTAGTGGTGGACACTGAATAAAGCATGCATAGTTTTGAGGTCCCCTCTAAGAAACATAATGCAAGTATACAAATGCAAAAGTCACTATTTATTCCAAATGAAAAAGCAACCACAAGTTTACTTTTTTTAAGTGGCAAACACACAAATATTTAAACACCTAGAAATATGGGCTAATATTTGTACTGATTAGTCTGACCCATCTCTGAATTACTTTTTTCGCTATGCTTTTGGCTATATGCTTTTGGTGTACTTTTCATATAAGGATGATTTTGTAATATTGATTTCTATTGAGAGGTTAGGAAGATAACTCATTCTTTTCTCAAATGGACAATATTGTGGGGGTTTTTTGTACTAATAGTATAGGTAAGCATCTTGCAGCTTCACAATTCTTTACTTAGCATCGCATAAATGTTTAGGATTGTTTAAAAACTTGAGTAAACCTCTACCATGTTTCTGATTTCATCTATGAGCTGTGTGATTTCAAGGCAGGTGACATTTTCTTGCATAGTTCCAATCTTAAATGTTCTTGTACATTGACAATACTCATTAACCAGTTTGTTACTTATGTTCATATAAATTGTATCTTTCTTCACTATTCCTCAAATCAATATTTTTTCATTTCCTATTTAAAAATTTACGATTTTCATAATTTTCTATGTTGTTACATTTTTATTTTTCAAAGTTTCTTGGATATTCTGATCCTTAAAAAAAAAAAAAAAAAGAAAAAGTCTCGTTCTGTTGCCCAGGCTGGAGTTCAGTGGTGCCATGATAGCTCATTGCAGCCTCGAGCTCCTGGGCTCAAGCTCAAGCCATCTTCCTGCCTCAGTCTCCTGAGTAGCTGGGACTATAGGTGCACATCACCATTTCTAGCTAATTTCTAAAAAAAAAAAAAAAAAAAAAATGTTGTGACGGGGTATCACTATGTTGCTCAGGCTGGTCTTGAGCTCCTGGCTTCAAGCAATCCTTATGCCTCATCCTCCCAAAGTGTTGGAATTACAGGCATGAACCATGGCACCTGAACCCTTTTTCTTATCTTCATAATTTAGGCAATCAGAATTTTTACTGTGATATAATAAGGATTTCTGACATTTTGAAGTGTCTTCCATTCTTCTTTAAGTTTACTTGCTTTTTTTGTTTTGCTTCAACTGGGATGCTTCCTGAAAATCATACTCGAATTTTGATGAGATCAATAGTTTTCAATAAAAGAAGCCGGATGCAGTGGCTCACGCCTGTAATCCTAGCACTTTGGGAGGCCAAGGTGGGGGACTGCTTGAGGCCAGGAGTTTGAGACCAATGCAGGCAACATGGTGAAACCCTGTTTCTACTAAGAATAAAAAAGCTAGCTGGGTGTGGTGGCGTATGCCTGTAGTTCCAGCAACTAGGGAGGCTGAGGCCAGAGGATCACCTGAGCCCAGGAGATTGTGGCTGCAGTGAGCCATGATCACGCCACTGCACTCCAGCTTGGGTGACAGGGTGAGACCCTGTCTCACTGACTCAAAAAAAAAAAAAAGGAAAGAAGAAAACTAAGGTGAAATTAAAGAAAAAGCCATTTTTAAACTGACAGTACTGTACTGAGGTATATAATTGTGTAAATTAATACTACACACATTGGCTTATTGATGGACGTTGATAAGAGTTTTTTTACTGAACTAGTATTTCTTCAGGTCATTTCACTGAGTCAGTAGCAATTTACATATTTTGGTTGTAACAGCCAGACTTCTTCAGTTCATTTTACAGCAAACAGGCTAAGATACAATCTAATATATTTGAAAACATAAGATGTGTGACTTCACAGTTACATTAATTGCTTATAGTACTACAAAACTTTGGTGACTCACAAATAAGAATTCTGATCAATATAATTTTGCTGAATCTCCATATTGAAAAAAGTATACATTATGCATTTATAATTCTACATATTTCACCAGCAAGTATATTGCTAATAAGGGAGACTATTTTTGACAAGGCATTGATGAGAACCGAATCTTTTGCTTTTTTGTTTTTTGAGGCAGGGTCTCACTCCTGTCACTCAGGCTGGAGTGCAGTGGCACGATCCACGGATCGCTGCAGCCTCGACTTCCTGGGCTCAGGTGATCCTCCCACCTCAGCCTCCCAAGTAGTTGGGACCACAGATGCATGTCACCACATCTGGCGAATTTTTCTGTAATTTTAGTAGAAACCGGGTTTTGCCATATTGCCCAAGCTGGTCCTGAACTCCTGGGCTCAAGTGATCTGCTTACCTCTACCTCCCAAATTGCTGGGATTACAGGTGTGAGCCACCACAACCAGCCTGCTCATAATTTTATACATCACATAATTGTAAGAAGTTTCCACATACTTCTTGTTTCATCTATTTAAAATGTGTCCCTCAAACCTCCCCTGCCCCTGACCCCTCTGTTTGATCCATCTACTTCCAGTGCTCATTGCTATAGCACACATCTATAGGATGGTATGGGTATGACCCTGCACCTTTGTGTCAGAACAGTGTGAGTCAGTACAGCAGGCACGAAAGTATTCCTAGAAGCCAGCCCTACAAACTACATAAATATATCTTCCTAGATTCACATAAAAGGTATGTCTTACTCGAATTCCCATCAGATCCTCAACTTGCTCAGAACTCCAAAGCCACCCAACCAAAGGATAAGTGTAACAGAGAGAATGCTGAAGTGGAAAGAAAGAGGTTTTAACCAAGTGAAAACATTTCATTGCAAATTTTACAAAAATCATAAAACCACATGTGGTGGTGGGTTGAAAGGTGGCCCCCCAAAAGATATGCCTATGTCCTGGCCCCCAGTCCCATAAATGTGACCTTATTTGGGTAGAGTCTTTGCAGATGCAATTTAGTTAAGGATCTTAAGAGGAAACCATTCTGAATTGCCGAGGTGGACCCTGAGTCCACTGACAAGCATCCTTTTAAGAAAAGAGAAGGCAGGCGTCTTTATGAGAGAAGATAAACATCCTTATGAGAGAGGACATAGACTCAGAGAAGGCCATCTGAAGACGAAGTGACACAGACATAAGGAATGCCTACCGCCACCAGAAGCCAGAAGAGGCAAGGCAGTGTTCTCCCCTAGAGCCTCCAGGGAGAGTGCAGCTCTGTGACTTCTTGATCTCGGACCTCTGGCCCCCTGAACTGGGAAGAAATTTCTGTTGTTTTAAATCATCATGTTTCTGGTAATTTATTACAGCAACCCTAGGACTAACACTCCATATCAACACTAGAGTCCTTTCCAGAACCTTATTAAGAGATTCAAGTCAATGTGGGGCTCTGACGCTGAAGCTTCCTTAGCTCTACAGTAGATTTCCTCTGCCTTGAATAAAAGGACAGCCAAACTTTTCTTGTCTAATGTTATATTTGAAATAATTTCACATTTATTCTTCACGCAGATTCTCCAATTATTGATATTTGATAACATTTTGATATATATGTAGATAATAAAAAACTGTTTAGAAAAAAATTGTTCATAAAAACAAATTTCTGTAATTGTTCAAAAAAAAATGTGTAGTTAACAGCCATGATTCTCTCTGCTCCAAATACTTCTGCGCATAATCCCTAAGAAAAAAATCATTCTCTTACATGTCTACAGTTTGATACAAGAATCAAGAAATTAACAATGATTCAGTAATATTATCTAATTTAAAGACTATATTTTTTTCTCAATTGTTCTAATAATGTTTTTAAAGAAAAATCTGGTCAACATTGTAATCAAAGATCATATGTCATGTCCTTTGGTCTCCTTTAGTTTGAAATTATTCTCTTTTTTTTTTTGGCTTACAATTTTGAAGACTATAGGTCAATTATTTTGTAGAATATCCCCTAATTTGGGTTTGTCTGATATTCCCCTATGATTAGATTCAGGTTACACATTTTTCTATAGATTGTTACAGAATACTACATTTCTGTAGAATGCTACAGTAGTAATGTTGGGTTCTTCCAGAGCATCATATTAGGGGCACATGATATTGGTTTGCCTTATTTTTGTTGATGTTAAACATTAATCACTTGGGTTTCAGTGTTAGACAAGTACTTGTAAAACTGCTATGTTTCCCTTGTATTTAATAAATATTTTGGAGGAGATACTTTGATACTACATAAATATCCTGTTCCTCATCACATTTTTACCCACTTGTTCTAGAATCAGCTAATCATTCCTGTCTGAACTGATTATTAATATGATTGCTCCCAAGTGATGATTTTTTCAAACACCATCATTCCTTCAACATTTGTTAATGGTTGACATTATACTTAAGAAAGAGTTTTTGCTTCTTTGTCATTTATCTCTCACAAATTTGGCCAATGGGAGCTCATTTAAACTGGTTCATAAGGACATCGTAAACTTTTTATGGGGTCTAATAAGATCTGAGATGGATAGGTATGGTATAATAAAAAAATGTATTTGGTTTGTCTCTGATTGCTGGCACAGAGCTACTAAAATGCTTGGAATTTCTTGAGTAGGAGGAGTACCTTTTGTTATTTATGACAAGCACCTTTTTAACTCCACCTGAGTTATGTTAATTAGGTGACTTAGCAGTCCCTAGATTGCTTCACGATGGGGGCTGATCACCAGAAAAACCAACAAGGTGGTTAGAGTTAGAACTTTCTAAACTCTCCTCCAGCCCTCTGGGAGGGAAGAGAGGCTGGAGATTGAGTTCAGTCATCAGTGGCTAAAGCTTCAATTAGTCATGCCTACAAAATGAAACCTGCATAAAAAACAAACAAACAAAAAAACCTTAAATAATCGGGTATGGAGAGTTTCCAGGTTGGTGAACATATCAAGGTGTCAGGAGGGCATGGAAGCTCCATACCCCACTTAACCCTCATTTCCTGCCCTCTGCGTCTCTTCCATTTGGCTGCTCCTGAGTTGCATTCATTGTATTAAGATGGCAAACATAGATAGTGTTTTTCTGAGTTCTCTGAGGAGTTCTAGTGAATTATCAAATCTTGGGGAGGGATGTGGGAACCCTTCAAGTTGTCACCAAGTTGAACAAAAGTGCAGGTAGTCTGGGGACCCAAGACTTGCAACTGGCATCTGAAGTAAGGGCAATTTTGTGGGAATGAGCCTTTAAACCTGTGGAGGCTGACACTAACTCTAGGTAGTGTTAGAATAGTACTGAATTGTAGAAGACACTCAGTTGGTGTCCACAGAAAATGGAAGAATCATTTAGTGACAGAAAAACTTCAGAGTAGGGATAAGCCAGTCTCCCAAAGGCTAGACACACAGAATCAGTTTACAACCTTTTCCTAAAACAAGTCTTTGAATAAAAAACAGATCTAGGATGAAAACAGTTTCCACAACCCTGGACAGCAATGAGGAAGTTAGGAGAAAGAAATGAAACTAAGACAGTAGGGGATTTTACATTTCACACCTGGTCCGCAGCCTAATGTCCCCTCTGCTGTTCTGAGGATCTCATGATCCTCCCAAGTCTTCACTGAGTCATCATGGAAAATAAAATGACAGACTCACATTTTACAGCTGGATTTTGTGAATTACAAGAACAAGAGAGATATACACAAGCTCAATGTGACTCCTCACTACACCTTAGTTTCTTAGTCGAACTTGGTAGGTGTGATTTATATCCAAAATACAGTCAGGGATTGCATTTTCAATATTTAATTCTATGAACTTCCAGAATAGTTTACTAGCAATTGCCAGAAATAAACTTATATAGCTTGCCCAATGAGCTGTTTCAGGAATTTTTAATGGGAAATGTTATCTCCCGTGAATTTAACTGAGTCACTGATATATAGTTTAATAATATCTTCTAAGGATTCCAACTTTAAAGCAGGAAGCTATTCCTTAAAAAGAATTTGTTTTGCTGTACTTTATTGTGTATTCAAAGATTTTAACAGGAATTTTAGCAAATAAAATTAATTATATGAATCAATTAATTTATAGTAGCTATTGTACAGTTATGCTAAAATATACATTTAGAACTAATTTTGGTCATTCATTACTGTTTAGTAAGGTTTTAAAATTTAGTATCTATCTAATGATATTGCAAATCCAAAACCAACATGGTTCATTTACGTAATCTATCTTTCATTGTTTTTGTTTTACAGAATTTAAAAAACAAACAAAAAACATAAATTATGTTTTGTTCTAAAGATAGTACCATATTCTTTATATAAATACCTGTCCTTAAAGAATTCAATCATGACACTCTGATCAAATCAGTTATAAAATTACCACTTTTCCACATTCTTGTACAAATACCTTGACTCATAAAGCTATGTGCCATTAATCATTTCATTGTTAGGTAAAATTGCATCTTATCAAGGAAAACTCATGCTTGAATCAATAAGAGTATCAAAAAACTTACTTTTTACAAAAGCAAATAATAATACCCTCCACATAAGGCTTGTTCTGTAGAGTAAATCTGGATTGAAGAGCCACAATCTATGACCCCAATAAGTGATAATTTTTAAGAAAACTTGTGTAGAAGAGCAGGATCTAAAAATTAAAACTTCCATTATTGTGGTTAACCAGACAATATACATTTCAATAAAGTTAATATTTTTTTTCTTATACCCACACATACTTCATCCAAGAGAAGGGGATTATATACAACTCCAATTGACTATGAAAAGGATTACACTGACTAGCACAGTGCTATTAAGCTTGAAATTAACTATTGAGATTTAACATATTGTGAAACAATAGATACATAATGCATATTAAAATCATTATTAAAATAGTAGAGGAGGCCAGAGCAATAACAGTAGATGAGGAACATTCAATGTTCAGAGCATAAGTGTTACTATGACAGTGACTCACATCTATGGCACAGGGTCAGTGTTAAATTAGCAGAAAGAACTTGAGAAAGAAATGCCTAAATACATGCTATGGAGACTGCTGTGCTTTGACCAAGGTACTAGAAGAAGACTGAGAATACACTTGACAGACAAGTGCTCCAGTTTATAGAGAAGAAATCTAAGGCTCTGAATTAGTCATAACCATAAGATCCTTCCTAATACATATATAGTATAAATTTGAATAGAAGTCATTCCTCTCACTTTTTTGGATAGAACTTTAATTTAATGTAATTTCTGTAAGTCATGTTCCTCTTTGTACTGACCTCTAGTCCTGAATTTGGGTGCGTTTTTTCCCCAAAAGTTTATTTTTAGCCATCATGAAACAGGAACTCTTTTAAAGTTATGATTTCTTGACCTATAAATTGCAAAATTGTACAATAATTTTCAAACTGTGGTCAATTATTTTTATTCCTACTGTGTTTTCAAAATATAAGTATTTACAAAAACAGTAATTAATTTGGGGTTTTAAATGTAAAGAAAAGTACATCTAACACTTTTCAATCATTGTTACTATCTGAGTTTCTCAGGGCCTAGAAAATCAACTGAGTTTTTGAGATACTCTTCATTCTGTTCCTCATTAAAACTTTATGCCCTACTCCTCATTTAATTGTTAAGAGATAATAAACCAATTCACAAAACATACTGATTTCTGACAACTCCCAAATAACAGGCATTTTTATCAGGAACAATGCATTGAATGGTGGCTTGTTTTGGTGAAGCTACTTTTGGAAGGAGGGCCTTCCCACACAAACACTTGCCAACCCTGCAAGAACACAGCTCTGGGTATCAAAATCATAATGGAATTATTCTGTGGATAAATGAGGACATTAGGACCAAATGGGATTTAAAGTAAGAAAAAAGTGAACAGTGCTGTGTTAATTCAAATCAAAGTGATTTTTATTGCTGTCTACCCCACAGACTGATATTTAAGGAAGCGATATTCCTTTATTGCCCTGAAAGTGCCATTGACTATAAACTACTTTCCTTTTTGTTATTTTCTTGCCTCTCCTCACCTTAACATTAAACCTTACTCTTTAGTTGCCGTAAAAAATGTTTAAAAGGCTTTCTAAAATATATTGGAAATATCTGGGAACTATTAATTGAGTGCTTACCACATGGCAGATATTAAGTCTTTCATCTTATGTGCTCTACCACACATAATATGTATTATCATCCTTACCAGATGGAGAAGACAGGAGCCTACAGAAGAGACCAAATAAATTACTCTCCAGTTCCCAAATGTATGTATGTGGTAGAACTGGCACTGGTACCCAGACCCAACTCCAGTGCCCATGACTTTAACCACTCTTCATTATAATGCTTCCAAAAGTCAGGCCCTCTTCTACAAACTTTACATATATCTACTCTTTTAATCTTTACAACAACCCTATGAAGTAGGAATTGTTACTATCCCCACTTAGAAGTGAGGAAACTGAGGCAAGGAACAGTTAAATACAGTCAGTGAGTTACGGATAAAACATTTACTCTTATGTTGTCCAACTCCTAAGCATGTGCTGCTAACAACTGCACCAACAAAAGTGTTAAATAAAGCTGAGTATATTTTGAAGACATGGCAATATATAAAGTTTAAAGATAAAGTCAAAATGTATCTCTAATATTTTCATAGCATTAAAAGCAATAAACTATACTTAACTAAAAACTTTTGATAGGAATCAGTCTTCAGAGATATTTTAATATTTGAATGATCCAAAAGCACCCTTTCAAAATTACATTATATTTTAGTTTATACAAGACAATGCAAAGATGGGCCTTTAAAACATGTATTTTTTTACAATATACACTAATAAAACGTTAAGTTAAAAACTGATCTTTTTAACTTAAAGGTTAATCAGTTTTAAAGATTTATTTTGTGCTAACAGTAGATAAAGTGTAAACTCATTTAAATAAATTTTGAGAAAACAGAAAGTAAATGGTTAATTGCTGATGATGTATTTGCAGACTGCAAAAAAAAAAGAAACAACAAAAAGGAAATTATGACTAATTCAGCTGCAGAAAAAAATAACTGAAAGAGAAGAAGGTGTGTATTTGTTTAAATCTGGGCTAACAGTCAAGTTGGAAGACATACGGAAATTGCATTTTCCTGTTGATGAATCAAATAAATTAAAGATTCTGATCTTGAAATATATGTTACCATCCATAATTTACTTCTTCAGTTGAGAATGCACACATAGTTTAAAGTAAAATACCACATGTTTGTGGTAAAGGGCCATAGTATTCAATATTTATCATCAAATTTCATTTATTGACATAGCTACCTCTAAAAGTTTACAGTAAAAATGAATAACACTGGTGCCTACTTTTGAGAAAGGAATGTAATAGCTACTAATATTAATGATACTAATCACCATCCTAAAAGCCAAATTGAACATGAGTGTGTGTTTGCAATGTAGAATAGAAAGGGAAGATAGGAGGTCAGTTTTATTAGATGTAAGTTTATGCAAGTGGTCAGTTTTTAATGGGGGTTGAAAGATTTTCTTAAATAATTCAATGAACATTGACTTTAAAGCTCTAAGTTTTAAAGGAATGAGAGAGAGATGAAAAAAGAACTTTCCATTTGAACAAAGAACTTAAAAAAAGGGGGCCAGAGAAGATAGCTCTAAAAGTTGTGAAGACATAGAGGTTGCCATCAACTCTTTTCCTACCAGATTATACTGCTTGGCTTTAAAGTAGAAAGCACTGTAAATGCGAGTGAGAAAGAAATCAGTTTCTCCTATGAAGAGAAATTAGTTAGGAACCCTCACAAGAGAAAATGATGTATTATATTTGATATATCATCGTTAACAAAAAGTGTCCAAAATGCTGAAACAAAAGCTGGAGTTAGGAATCTAGGGAGACTGTACATGATTGTGGGGATTTGACACTAAGAAAGTTTCATGGCAAGAGTTGTCCTTAATTTAGAAGGGAAAGACAGAGTTTATGTTAAACAGTAATTGCTGCAACTGACGACAAGGGAGAAAAAAATCCTTAAATAATTTATGCTTCTTGAAATTGTGCTCTAAATATTTATTTCTTGGCAAATTATAGAAAACAAATGAAACATCAAAAACAGAAAATGGTATGAAGTTAGAACTAAATCTCAATGTAATTGTCATATCATAAGTGAAATCTAATACATTAATCTATTAGATTGGCTATAAAATCAGTTACAATATACAACATAGAGATATAATATACAATATGCGATCAGATACAAGAGACATATTTAAAATAAAATGATCTCTAGGGAGATTGAAGGTAAAGGGCAAAAAATACTGACCTTGAAAAATAAGTTACAATATACAATATACAGATACAATATACAATCAGATACAAGAGACATATTTAAAAATAAAAGGACTCAAGGGTAAAGGGCAAAAAAAAAAATACTAATCATGAAAAATGTTGAGTTTGTAAAATTAGTATCAGGCAGTTATGAAATCAAAGCAAAAGGCATTAAAGAAAAAAGTGAATACTTTAAAATGATAATGTAAGCCACAAAGATCTCTCTCAAAGATCTTTATGCATCAAATAACAGCTTCAAAATTCAAAATGGCTAAGCTGCAGAAAGTAAAAATAGATACAGAAAAACAATAATACCTAGCTCAGAGTATGATAGATTAAATAAGAGATAAAAATAAGTTAGGATGTAAAGGCCCCAAGTAACAACATTGTAAGACTTTTAGGTAGACATTGAATACAGTATCCTCAAAATATATATAAAGTAACTTTCCAAAAATTACTTTAAGCTTTTAGGAAAATTGACCATATGTTAAGCCACAGAACTGAATAAACTCTAAATTATAGAAACAGCACAGAACACATTACCTGATCACAGGCAATAAAATTAGAATTCAAAAAATATACAGAAAAATCTTCACAACTACCTAGAAATTCAAAATTCTAGTTAAGCAATCATAGAGTGAAATAATGTCAAAACCAAAATTTTAGAATATTTGGAATATATACTAATGACAACAAAACATACATAATTACTTAAGAATGAATAAAAATAAATGAACTATGTATTGAACTCAAGAATTTGAAGAAAGAATAATCAAATAACATGAAAAAGAAAATTGTTTTCAATAGTTTTTTGGTTAAAACAAATAGATTCTATGTTTAATCAATTCAGGCAGTTTATACATTTTATCAGAAGACATCAGGAAGCTCATTAACCCTCCAGCAGGACTCATAAACTAGGCTTAGAAGCTCCACAGCCAAGAGCCACATTAAAAAAACACAGCACTGAACTGAACACACAGTTATCACTGCTAAATATGGAAATTGCAACTTGTACCATCAGCTCTGCTCTGGATGTGAACGCTGCCACTCTTAGAATGAATTTCTCATGATGCCAGCTTCCTCATCAGTTTCTGATTCAGTCTCCTGTGAGTCCATCTGATTGGGAGAGCTGAGGTCACATGCTGTGCCATAGTCTCAATGTTTGTGCCCCACCCCACTCACAAACTCATATACTAAAATCAAATCCCCAGTGCAATAGCATTAAGAGGTGGGGTCTTTAAGAGGTGATTAGGTCATGAGGGTGAAGCCCTTATGAGGGGATTATTGCCTTTATAAAGAGGACTAAAGGATCTGGTTTGCCCTTTATACCCTATGAGGATTTACTAGTGCTTTGGTCTTGGACTTTCTAGTCTCCAGAACTGTAAGAAATAAATGTCTGTTGTTTATAAATTACTCACTCTGTGGTGTTGTGTTATTGCAGCCTGAAAGAATTAAGGCATGCTTTAAAGAAATCTGGGAAAGCAATAATCTACCTGGCCTTTGTTCCTGTAAGATAAAGAACTCCCCAAACCTAGAGACTGTATTTCATAACAGCTCAAAAATACGACAAATACTCACCACAGCCCACTGCATTAGCTTCTCAGCACTAACACATACCTTTATCAAACTGAAACTTCTGAAAACTCATCAACAAAAACAACTTAACATAATGCAACATAATGCCACTATTCCTCATATAATGAAAGCAAGTTCACCCTCTAACAAAAAAGGAAACAATTCAGGTCTTATAAATTGCTATATCTAAACCAGCAAAATCACAGGATTGGAAATCAAATATTTGGGAAGCACATCACTCTCATTTGAATTCTTACATTCTAGGACTCAATACATTCTGGGTACTAGACAAGCAGTTCTATATATTGGTTCCTAGTTCCAAATATATAGATATAAATATACAGTGCATCCTATAAGACAATACACCAACCATATAAGGTGTCTCCCAAGTGGCACTAAATCTAAGTTTGAAAATTCTACCAATTCATAGTGCAGACTCTTTTGAGATTATTATAAGGTAAGACTTGTGAATCCTATAAATATTACCTCATTGCTTTATTTATTTCACTGTGAAATAAATTATTGAGTCAGATACAATGACTGTGATTAGATATTTAGTCAATCCATAGATGGTGGCAGGGAAAGTGAATCAAAACTGACTTTATCCCACTAAAGAAAATATAATTGCTCCTTCTAACTTGGAAGATGTCCAACATATTCACAAGCTGGGCATAATTAGTTGCTGTTGCTATTATTTCTGGTACATAGTAATCACGCTACCAAGTCAATCTGGATGACGAAAAATTCCTGTTGAGCTCAAGCAAAACTTCTGCCCTTGCCACACGTCCATTGAGCAAGCCTCAGGGTTGAATAGGAAAAGTAACTGACAACATCCACAGAGTTGGGCATCTTGCTCACCTGATTAAAGAAAGCCTATTTTTCTGTGGAGGTATTTTTGTAAACATTCATATGAGACACAAATATTCTCATACATTGGGTCTAATACATATCATTTCCCCCAAAGTCCTCGTTACCAATCCTCTAACGTTGCCTTTCCCAAGTCCCAGATCATTTAGTCAAATCATTAAACCATAACCATGAATTGGTATGCCTAGTTCCTTATCTCAGGTCATCCCACTCTACAATTCTTCTTTTCTTTAAGTGAAAGCAAATTTACTAGAGAAGTAAAGAAACAAAAGAATGGCTACCCCATAGGCAGAGCAGCCCCACTCTACAATTCTTATAATTAGCATTGCTTCCATTCTGTTCAGTTCTTATGGCTACAGCCTAGCCCAATGATGCACCTTTTATCTGACTTTACTGCAGAAGAAAGTGTCAGGAATCATGATGGAGTAGTCCATGACGGAGCCTATGGCTTATTTGAAATTATACTATTCGGCAATAAAATCCAAGAGAGTACAGGTGAAAAAATAAAAGGGTGTGAGGGAAGAAGGCACAGATAATATAAGAGGATGACGTTTTGACCTGGCCACTCTTTAGTACTACTGCTTGTCCTCAAGAAGTGTATATCTAGAGCACATTTCTGGATAATCACTGGGTAGGCTGGGAGGTGGAGAAACTCATTGGTTGCCACTCTCCAGTGGTCAAAGATTTTCCCTACAGTGTGTTAACTTTTCTGCAGGGTGTGCATGCATAGATGTGATCATGTAGCAGAAGCAGGAGGTAGGAGACATGAAGCACAGGCTGGAGGTCAGAACTGCATGATACAAAGTGGAAGAAGCCCACTGTGTGACAAGGGTACAAGGCATCCCTCTGATTGTGCCTAAGTGATGTCAGTTAAATCTCAGGCAGTTTGGAAAAATAAACAGATGCCAGAAACTCTGATAGAATTCACCAAAGTTGTCTGATATACAAAGACTCACATCTGTAACTTCTTTATATCCACTCCTGGAAGCATTATTTTACCATATAGTGAGCCAGCGTAATGTCCAGTAAAACGCTGAAATGATCAAGGTCCTGAGGGATTAAACTATGGCATGGAGCGGAAGCAAGATAGTAAAGGTGCACTGCTGTCCCTTCTAGATGAAAGACACCTTTTTTCACTGTTCTGGCTTATTGGGATATAGAAAAAAAATAACATTTCATAGATAAATAGTTGCATACCAGGTCCCAGAGTATGGGCTGACTTGCTCCTATAAATAGACCACATCTGAAACAATAGTAGCAATTTGCATCACCATACAATTTAACTTTGAAAGTCTGCTTTCATTCTTGCAAAGATGTCTTATGCTCAATGGCAATGGAACAAATATCAGAACCACTAAGCTTCTCGTTATTCCATAATAAATAATTATGGAGCTATTAATATATGCCAGATACACTTCTCAGTAATTATGTACAACAGTTAATAAAATAAAAATCCCTGTCCTCATGGAGTTCACATTCTAGTGAGCAAAAGACAAAAATACAAATCAATAAGATATATGTCTAATCTTATATGTTGTATAAGATATAGCTATATATAAATAAGATCTGTATCTTATATGTATATTTTTCTATACATAAAATATATGAATATGTTTACCATATATAATCTTATTATCTTACAAATAAATTATATATATATATATAAAATCATGGACCACATAATGGCATTTTGGTCAATGACAGACCACATATGCGATGGTGGTCTCATAGTTACAATGGAGCTAAAAATTCCTATTGCTTAGTTATTTGTATTACAATTTCCTATAGTATGCAGTTCAGTAACATGCTATAGAAGCAATAGGCTACATACTGAACAGCCTGAGTGTGTAGTAGGCTATATCAACTATGTTTGCATAAGTACATTCTGATGTTCACACAATGACAAAATCGCCTAACAATTCATTTCTCAGTACGTCTCCTCATCATTAAGTGACTGTAATAAAGAAAAGAGCAGGAGTACTTGGTTGGGCAAGGAATTGGGGGGATGTTGAAATTTTAAATAGGGTTGCTAGAGAAAATCTTACTTAGAAGGACGTAATTTGACTGATATCAACAGAGTTGTAGTGGAGGAAGCAAGTCATGCAGACATATCTGGAGGAAACAGCTGACAGAAAGGTCCTTAGGTAGACACCTGCCTGGTGTGTTCAAGGAAGAGTCAGGAGGTTGTCATGGCTATAGTGCAGTGAATGAGGTGGAGTAGAAGAAAATGACAACAGAGAGATGACAGGAAGTCAGGTCATTTGGGGCCTTGTGGGCCATTGTAAGGACCGTGGCTTTTGCTGTGACTTAAACGGTAAACCATTGGAGGGTTGTGAGGAGAGGAGAAAGGTCATTTGACATACCTTTTAGGAGGATAACTATGTGCTACTCATGTAGAGAATGGATAGTAAAGAGGAAGGGGAAGAGGGAGGCAGGAAGGCCAGGTAGCACACTGCTACAATCATACAGACAGATTATGGTAGATTTGTCCAGTGTGGACTAGACAGATGTCTTCAAGGTTTAATGGTGGCACTGATCTCTCTGGTATTCCTGAAATGTGTTATCACTTGAGAATTGGATAGTGCTCGAAGGATAAAGTAATTTCCACTGGCCCTTTCCTAGTATTGTTTCAAAGCAGAGATTCTCCCAATTGCGCAGTATGTGAATAGCTATTTCAACATTACATTAAGGAACTGATGAATTATCAAAGACTGAGTTCAGAGGAGTAGTAGGTGTACTATGAGGCAGAGTTCCTTGAAAACTACATTACTCACATGAATCCTAGAACTACCTACATTCATCTGTGAACTGTAGAATTCTTTGTACTCAGGAAGCAACAATTAGTTAAGAGCAGTATCCAATAGTCTCAGAAAAGGTAGGTATATTTCACCTAAGTGTAAATTGTGTCTTTGGAGAAGGCTAGAAAAAAAAATTAATGGCATGGCCTTACAATGATGCAAGGTCCCTTTTCAAGTGCATCAATCTCCCCATCATTAAAGGGAATCTAGATGTATAAACTAATTCAGGTCTCAGATTCTAATATGGTGGTTCCAATTAAGATCCTGTTCTCCCCAGACCTCGAGTTTTTGGTTAGAGAGAATAAAGACAGCCTTAGTGTGTTGTCCATCTACTAATTTATATGAACCTGATTAACATTCAGCCATCAATCCCTGAACATTACTGAAGGTCAGATCATTCAGATTACCACTCAGGCCATGGAGATATTAAGAGGACTAAGCCCACTTCGCCCCGGTAGTTAAATGTGGCTATTTGGCCCATGCTATCTTGGATCCTAGCATCCCTGCTGCAATCAAAGAGTTCATACCAACTGCAGCATCTTCTACCAGCTTCCTTAGCCTACAAAGAATGTTGTTCCCCTAGAACATTTTTTAAAGTTACTGATGTGCTCAAAATACATTTCCCAGTGTCTTGATAAAGGGAAAGTCTTCAGACATACTCAGCAGATGTGATTAGGAGGAGGGTGAAAGAAGAGTATTTTATAAATTCATTCCAAGCTTCCTATCTCCCTAAGTCTTGGGTTCATCTCTCCAAGGAATTTTTGGCACCTCAATCCATTAAATACAGGCCACCGTTAAATACTTATTTAGTCAACTAGTCAAACAGAACTGCTTCCAACTGCTTAAGCCTACAAGAACCAGATTCACTGGCATATGCCCCCACGTGGAAAAATTCAGCCCAACCTAAACTTGTTTCTCTTGTCTTAGTTGAGCATCTTCACAATGCATTTACAATTCCATTCTCCCTATTATTTGCTGATATAAGTTAGAAAATCTTGCATATGTGGGTGCATTAACCTTTTCATCTTAAGTTTGACTTTGTATTTGGCCTTCTCTAAAAAAAAAAAAAAAAAAAAAAAAAAAAGAGGTGTTTTTATTTTTATGGCAGTGTAAGCTCAGAAATATTTGAAGATTTGGGGTCTCTGAGTTGTCCAAAACCTCTCACAGGACCACATTTCTGTTCTTCATGTCCTAAACTTTCATGGAAAAAAAAAGCATTGTGTTCACACAAGAGATATGGTAGGGCTGTGAATTTTTCTGATGCTACAATCCTACAACCGATAGGATCTAGTTTGAAGTTTACTGGTTGCAACACATTATTATTTTTTTTTGTCACAGTCAGACAAAAATTTGGGGAATGCATTGAGAAAATAGTTTAGTTTTCCACCGTTATTTTTTAACTTATCCAGCACAATGTTAAAAGCAAACACCTGATCTTTAATTCTTCACAGCCTTCACACTTGAGGACAACATAACTGATACCTAAATCAGAGAAGGCAAAGACTAGAAAAGAAAACTACCAGCCAATAATCAATAATCCTCATGAGCACAGACACAAAAAATTCTCAAAATATTGGCAATTCAAATCCATTAGTATATAAAAAGTATTGCTATAGTATAACCAAGTGGGGTTTACCCCCAGAAACGCAAAATTGGTTTAGTCATCAAAAATCAATCAATAAAATTTACCACCTAATCCGAATAAAGGAGAAAAATCATATGCGATATATGAAATTTAGATAAAGCATCTGACAAAATTCAACACCAATTACTTATTTTTTTTTCTTGGAGACAATGGAGTAGATGGCATGATTGAGAATTACAAGGTAGCTGAGGATGTAACAAAAGAAAAACAGAGAAATTACAAACTACAAAAACAGAGGGAAAATGAGTAATAATTAATGGTCCCAATATAAAACAAAGTAAAAAGTGGCATGATTTTGAGCATGTGATGGAGTGTCATAAAACGGTGTTGAAAACATTTTTCTTCAATTGCCCCACAGTTGTAATATTAAACCCCCAGAAGAAATGGTTCTTTGCCTTAGTATTAAAAAAATTATATAGTCATAGTGATATAAATGTTACTTATTTCTAACCTTTTAGAGTTATCCTATAGACATCCCAATAAAGACTCCAGGGTAATCTTGTTACAGAGCAGAACATATTAGCAAACATGACAATGTAAAAGGATAGTTAAAGGAGGTAGAAAATTGAATGGGAGGAGATAAAGATAGGACAAAAGTTAGGCGCTCTAATAACTTTATCTTCTGAGGAGGAGTCAAGAGAGCCTGTCTCAAAATCATGGAGTTAGTGTTGTGTTAGAGTTAGTAGTAGGATTATACATACATAATTAACATTAAAATTGTAACCAATAAAATAACAAATCATAGAAGAAGCAATGTATCTCATCTACAATTAACAAATTAAGAACGTTATAAACATATAATTTTGACTTCTGAAGGCAACTGTCAGAAGAATGTAAAACAGAAATAGTAATTACCTCCAGGGAACGGAAGGGAGATGAGGACGAATAGGGCAGGAGTCTGCTGCATTTTACCACAAGCTCTTTTACACTATTACTTTGTTACTACATTCATGTACTACTCTGAAAAAATATCTATCATCTGTCAATTCTTAATTTTATAATAAAATTGGGGGGACAATTAAATGACCACTTAGAATATAAGTATTTCAGATTACTGGTCTTTTACCATGATATTTGTTACTATAAATATAATATTTTTATAAACCAAGAGTAAGGGTAATAGTACTGAATTTTTTAAAATGGCCTATCAAACTACCTTTGACTTTTTGTTTTTTCTGATGAGTTTATAAGTTGGAAAAAAGACTAAGTATGCACTTTAAAAGTTCTTTAAGCACACAGAGTACTAATATAAGGAGAATAAATGCCTCTGACTTTCACAAAATCAACTACAAAAGAACATATGATTATAGTAAAGAGTATTGGGCTCAGCAGTACAAAAATAAAGATAATAAAATACTAGAACAGGCTACTAATAAAACTATGATCAACTATACATTAGTATTAGGTGATATATTTTACTTTCTCAATATTTATATACAATTGGTTTTTTTTCTTTCAAAAAAAACAGTAAAACATCGGAGATATCAGTACTCAGGATATACCTTAAGAAGGTAAAAAAGTCATGGTTCCTGTATCTGTGGAACTTGTATTTTAAAATCTTTAATACATCTTTGCATAAAATGTGTTTTTTCCTAAAACATACAAAATTATTTTGTTTTATTGTTTTGCATCTACTATTATTTTTGTTTTAGAAATTGGAGAAGTAGAAAAAGGGAAAAAAAATCTATGGAGGACAAATGATAATATAACACAAAAATTTGTTTATCACTGCCCTCTACTGTACAATTTTCTCAAACCAACATTGATTAAGGAAATGACAATGTGACTGATAGGCACGGAACACTAACCCAAGAATGTTGAGTATTCTTCAGCTATAATATCAATCTGCAGCAGAGTTTCTTAATCTCATTATTATTGACATTCTGGGTCCTGATAATTATTTGTTGCAGGTGGCTGTACTGTGTATTGTAAGACATTTTGGCAGCATCTCTGGCCTCTACTTACAAGATGCCAGTAGTACTTCCCCAAGTTATGACAACTAAAATGTCTCCAGACATTGCCAAATATCCACTGAAGGGCAAAATCACTCCTGGTTGAGAACCACTGATCTATAGGTTAGCAGTTCTATCTGTAATTCGGTTTCATTACAAATCAAAGCCCTAGGCATCAAACAATGTTATCTGTTCCCATGGATCCACTTATAAGCTATACCTGGATGGCACACAGAATTACTTGTTTACTCCATCAATTTAGTTCTGAAAACACACCCTCACATGTTGAACTAGATGACTAAGCTACTCAAATGATACCAAAACACTGATGGTGCTATCCTCTTAGTAACATCTTCTCCTGCCATCATCACACAATCATCCCAGGGTGATTATGTGCAACAAACAGGACTTCACCTGGCATCCAAAACAGACTCCTGTCTCTACAATTACTTAATTCCAAAACCTGAATTACGCTATTTCTGCTACCTCAGATGACCTTAACCTAGCATTCTGAATGTTGCCCCATGTTCCAGGATTTGTCTTGGCAACTAATTCTTTCCTCCACATGTTTTTAACCTCATTTCCTATTTGTGTATCTGCTTCCCCCAGATCCCTGACCTTTATGCGTCTGACCCAAGGCCGGTAATAGGACTCAGAATCCTAAATGCTTCATTTGCTTAATGACTTGGCTTCCTATTTTGACACTTGGACACCATCTGGACCCTGACAGCAATATTAACCCAGCATGAAAGTCTTTTGAGAATAAAATAGTTTTAAGAATAGTTGCAAAATATTGGACCAATTTTTTTAGAACTTAAAAAAATTTCAAGACACAAAACACCACATAGGTTGTCAATCCCATTGCTTTCATTTCGTGTTTGTGTGCGTACAATATATTTCTGATTATAAAACAATTTTAAAGTTTGAAAAATATAGAAGTAGATAAAATACAATCACCTAAAATTCCACCATCATTCAGAAATAACTATTGTTAACTTCTAAAATGTAGATGAAGCCTAAATTATAAATATGTCTCATGTATCTATCTATCCACATATACCTTTTTTTTTCAAAAGTACTATCATATGTCACACAGTGTTGTGACATAATGTATGTTTCACTTCATAATGTATCCAGGAATGATATCCAAAATAATTAGCAAATCATATAGCAGAGGCTGGCCTTATTGATGCAAAGTTCTGGGGTGCCATGTTTTAACTCCATGGGAGCTACATAATGAGAGGCCCAGAAAGTCTCATAGGAAGGGTCAGCGCAGACAGGGTGATATGAGACACTGCAGTGGCTCAGAGCAGCTGCTATTTAGAAGCATCTCAACATTTTAACAACTGGTTAGGGTTGTACCAGTGTAAATATTCTGATTAGCATCCCTGTGCATACCGCATATTAACATATAGTTAGTAATCAAAAACATGGTATTTAATGACTACAAAGTCTGACCTGTAGATATTTTATGTATTGCATCTTTATATTGGTCTCTATCACTTTTTCCCTTTGCTAAATCAATATGGTCATTATCCATTAAAAAAACTCTACCATATCTCAATAAAATTTATGTAAATTCCTCTTGATGAATCATCTAGTCCCTTCCTCAAAATTTCACCATATCATAGCATCTATTACATTATGTTTAAATCATTTCCTGAACCATCTATTTGTCCTAAAATGTTATATGTTCTGCAAGAACAGGGACTGTGTCTTGGTCATGTTTTGTATTATTGGTATTTGTTGTTCAGTAAGCATTTACTGAAATAGACTGTAGTAATATTATTTCTCAAATTCCCTAGATGTCTTATTTATTAGGCTATGTTAATATTTACAACTTCAAAGAGTTTTTTAAAAAATAAAGAGCTTCATGAATTACCATATTACTTTCATTTTCCCTCTGCCTATCCTTTTAGGTTAGCCTAATTAAAAATCACTGTGAAGGGGGTTGACCTACTTCTGTATTTGAGAATTCTTCAAAGAATTCTATTTAGAATATTCTTCTCAGCATTCCAGTCCAGCTACTTGGATGACAATTGGAATCCCATTTTCTTCACAGAGCTTAATGGTTAACAATCATGACAACTTTATGTTGCCCTCTCTATTCTGAACTTGGAATCTTATGAACTAGTGCTTAATACTCATGCATTCGTTCATTCAATAATTCATCACATCTTTATTGAACTCATATTACCTGCCAGATCTGTGGATCAACAGATGAATAAAACATGGTCTCTGCCCTTGAAAAATTCCAAATTAGTTGGAAATGCAGGCTGTAGACTACAATGTAGTAAGTCTCATAAGATATTCATGGACAGAGTGTAAAAAAGCACTATATTGTCATACTTCTAGACTCTATTTCCTCAATGGTAAGAATACTTTAACCTACTTTAGAAAAATACTTTTTACCCTACTAGCAAAATAAGTATTCCTAAGACTCTACTTATTTGGATTCATTGAAGACAAGGTAAAAAATCAAAATAAGAAAAAAGCTAAAATTTTCCAAACACCACTTCTTGTCAGTATCATAGAGTACCTGTGTGATACTGGAGAGAAGACAAGGAAAATCTCTGGAGCATTTCCAGCAGTGTAAAAAATCCTTATAGTCACTGAAATATTTTCATATTGTGTTACAAAGAGAAGATGCTTGGTAATTTATATTTACATTACCAGACTCACAAAAATGAATGCTAGAGAGCCTAAGTCTTTCAAAATCAAACCTGGGGAAATAGTTACAGACAATTATGCCATTGTGTATAAATATATTTATCCTGTAAGAAGTATTTAAATATACTTACCTAGCATATCCTGCACCTGAATCATTTAATTTTAATATGCCCCTCCTCTATAAAATATTATTTTTCAGAAATAATCATGAAATTAAATGAATAATGATAATGAACAAAATAAATTCAGAAAAGGCAAATTTTCTTTTTCTCAAACTTCATCATATAATCATCCTTGTAGTGAATAATTAACAATTAATAGCATTGAAGAAAAAAGTAATGATTAATCTTTTTAATTAGATTTAAGCATTTTTTTGGAAAGAAACAATGGCCTGTTACACTAATGAGTCACTACATTAAAATGTTATAGCAATTAAATAAAAAACAAGTAGAATAACAATCCTAAAATAATACATTTCCATTTTCAAAATATTCAATTCAGTAATGTGTTTCACATTTAAACTAAAATTTGCATTTAGTAAACAAAAAAATCCAAAAATACTACACCTAGCAGTTCAGTTTCACTATTTTAAATTTAAAATACAAATAAAAACTCCAAGTGATCATATACAACTGAAAGAACTCAAGTGTATCTTGTCTTTTATTTCTAATCAACTATTTACGTAATGTCTCACTTATTAAAATTTCACCAAAACTGAAGCTAATGTTTAGACCTTAGACTATCAGAATGTTTTTTCCAGGAGAAATATTTCATCACTGACATTGTTTAGAATTGCTGGCACATGGTGGTAATAAAAAGCAGGCTGTAAAAGTCAGTTTTATTATTGTTTTTAAATCCTCTAACGACAATACATCCCTTTATTTGCCTTCTCTGGGGTGACTGCTTCGACTGCAGTGCCCTTGGCATGGCACTTACCAGATCATTTATCTCTGTACTGTCAATTCTACAAATAATGTTTTTCCTGATTACATTTATGTGCTGGACACTGCGCTAGGTACTCTTAAACACTGTCTCCTTTGAGACTTGTCACAATCCTACAATGCAAGTGTCCTTTCTTACTCTCATTTCATGAATGAAAAAACAATTTAGGGACTTTGAGTAACTTGGCTCAGGTCATATGAGTAAATAACAGAGACAGGAGTCAAACTCAGGTATGATTAAAAAGCCCGTAACCACCCAATCCTACATTCCTTATTCATGCAACAAATATGAACTCAGTGTCTTCTGCAAGCTTGTAACAGAGCAGTGCATAAGAAACAATCCCTATCAGCCAAGGGCTCGAAGATGAGTTAATCACTCTACTTTTCCTAGAGGTGGCCACTCTCCTATTTCTATCATCATAGATTACTTTTACCTACTCAGAAACTTCATCTAAATGTCATCCTAGAATATGTACTCATGTGTGCCTCCACTTTTTTTCCTATTCTCTCCTTCTGGAACTCCTCTGAATCAGGTATTGGAAATTTCAAATTGATTCTCCAATTGTTACATTTTTTATTTTTATTTTTCTTGTTTGTTCTACATCCTGGGTTAATTTCATCAGTCATGACTTCCAGTACTCACATTTGTAGAATTCCTTTTTATTCTATCTGCAACAATTTATTCACGTCTTCTTTTCTTTCAGTGTTTTGCAATGTTTCAATGTGAGCTCACCATCAACAGTTGCTCCTCTTTGTGTCCTAGGACGAGGAACATCCCTAAAGGATATTATTATATATTATTGTATTTGCCTCTCTGGGGGGCCCCTCATCTTTTGCCAGACCAGACCAATTTTTACTGTCTTGTTTAAAGGGTCTCTGCACCTTGTGTGGAGTCTGAATTTGGATTCCACACCCATGCATGGTACAAGTTTGAGGTCTAAATTCCTCTGGGTTGCCTTTTCACCCATGATCTCAGGTGGATGGTCAGAAAGCTTTATTGTTGTTTCCCCAGGCAACTTCATAGGAGTAACCCTTCATGATTACTGGTTTATTACAAGATGGTTAGCGTTAGCTCCCTGCAAGCATAGTACCTGAGGCTTGTGATATCTTTACACAGTCAGAACCCAACAATTAAAGCCCATAAACTCTCAAGTTCTTTCAGCTTAAGCTCTTATTCTCTACACCAACTTTGAGTTTGCTCTTATTTCTGCTACCTGGAGATTTCATTCTCTGTTTTAAGTGTTATCCTTACATTTCATCCAGAATTTCTATTTGTTTTGAGGGAATGGTTTTGTGATGGCTTTGTATCCAGTAACCCACCATCTATCTCAGTATTGTCCCTCTACCATCCACTGAACGCATAGAGAGAAGTCCCCTTGGCAAAACCTCCTTAACTATCCTCCCATTAGACACTTGCCTTCTTCCTCTCTCTCCTCTTTTACTCCAGATTCTCCACCACCAACACCCAGCAGCCAGCCCAGGAAATTAGAACTTTCATAAAGAGGTTTCTTTAGTAGATATTAGGGGAGAGGGGAAAGGCTGAAAACATCCACAGGTGTGTAGACGGAAGACTACCATCATATTGATGCTGCTTATAACCAATCCAGTGAGTGACTCGATGACTTTCAAAGATGTAAAAGTAGGTTTACGTCATGACAGCATTTTACTCTTCTTTCTTTCCACATCACAGGGATGATGCACACTGCCTGGTGCAAAGTTTAAAAAATTTCACTTCAAAGTTTTAATAGGTTTCAAGATGGTAATTTTCTTTGTAAGATAGGGAAGTGTTAGAACCTTAAGACTTCAAGCAAGGGTTCCTCGAGAAACATGCTATGTGAGGGATTTAAATTTCCCCTTGTCTTAGACTCTGGTAAACAGTCATATTCTGTATCTACTTTTCAATCTTATCCCTAAATTTTAATTCCTTCTATTTTTATTTACCTAGTAGCCTTAACTGCAGTAGTCTTTTTTTTTTTTTTTTAAGACAAGAGTCTGGCTTTGTTGTCCAGGCTGTAGCGCAGTGGTGCGATCTCGGCTCACTGCAAGCTCCGCCCTCCCAGGTTCACGCCATTCTCCTGCCTCAGCCTCCAGAGTAGCTGGGACTATAGGTACCCACCACCATGCCCAGATAATTTTTTGTACTTTTAGTAGAGACGGGGTTTCACCGTGTTAGCCAGGATGGTCTCGATCTCCTGACCTTGTGATCTGCCCGCCTTGGCCTCCCAAAGTGCCAGGATTACAGGCATGAGCCACTGTGCCCAGCCGACTGCAGTAGTCTTACACAGCCTTCCTGGCTTGATTTCTCCCTTGAATTTAGTATGACAGTGGCAGAATCACACCTGTAGGTGAGATAATACTAGAGTTCTGGTGATGTCCAGCCTTAAGAGAAGCAGGGGCACAAGGTGGAACTAACAGCAGCAAAAAGGAATATCTGCAATAAGAGTAACTTAGGAGGACACATGTGATATTAATAATCATGGTAATAGCAGCTGACATTTATTGAATCATAACATTCATATGGCATTAATATAAGTGTTTTGCATAGAAAATACTTCAACCCACACTCCTATGATTCTGCTACTGTTTCTATTTCCCATTGACAGATCAGGAAACAAAGGCACAGAGTGTTAAAATTACTTTCTCAAGTTTATACAACTAGCGTTAGAGAAACTGACAAAGAAAGAGGGGAAAGGCAAGGGAAAAAGTAGAGCTTCTCTGGGGGCTCTCACCAGCAGGAGTTTGTGGGCCATGTATTTACTGTCCTGTACTTCTGTAAGGTTGCCAGTCTCTGTGTCTTTTCATTCCCAATTTCAAATCATAAGAAAATGCATCTGATAGGTCCAGCTTTGGTGAATCCCTGATAAATTAATGAGTTTTGATACAGACATGGTCAATCCATATGAGGGGCACTCCCTGGAAATGCAGTATTGGTTTTAAGTAGGCAGCCACTCAAAAATGGTATCTACTGTATGACCTAATTATGTAAGAAGTTATCACAAGCCTATGCAAACATAATTGTTGCAGCTCAGCTGATACATGTTCCAACAATAAGAGTTACATTATTTAACTAAAATATACAGTGTGTAAGTTTTATTTTTGGTTTCTGTGGAGTGTGTATTTATACTGACTGAATTGGGAATGATTTATTATCTCATTTCCCTTAATATGGAACACTCCCTGAGGAAGCTCAGTTTACACTGAAATGATGTACTTCTATTCATGATAGCATACCATTTTAGCTACTCTGAAAGAGCCACCTGGCAAAAACAACTAAAAGTGCTAGATTTAAAAAAATACACTGATGAACTAGTAGGAAATTAAGGAATTTTCAGAACGAATATAAAAGGGGAAAAAGAAGGAAAATGAAAATATCCTGAGAAATAAGTGCAAGCCAAAGTAGGCTTTTGTTCAGAGACTATCTGTCAAGTTCTGGACACCTAGAGCTCTTACTTTAATAGCTGTGCAGCATGCCAGGGTCAGAAGATAAACCCAAGTATCAGTTTAAAAGGAAGAGTCTTACAGCAGACAAAAATCTGGGGCCCCAATGGACTATACTCTCCATGTAAGGGTAAATGACATATAAGCCTCATGCACAGAATAGGCCAGTAATGAAACATGTCTGTCTTGGCCTTGGAGCCCAGTAAAGAAAGAAAAAAAAATTCTCCTCTGAGAATCTGTAACAATCCATTTGGGATAGAGGCCCAAATTCAATCTATCTGTGCAATACAATAAACCTCAAGGGGACAATTTAATCTGGTCCTAGGGGTTTATGATGTCTCCAAACAAACTGACAAGCAAATTCTAATGCTCTCCATGAAAACTCAATTTCAACTCCAGCTCAAAGAATCCTTATGCTTGTAATCCCAGAAACAGGAATTCAGAGTCCAAAATCGCAACCCAACAGGAAAAAGCCACCATGAGTAAAAGTGCCCATTTCTGAAGAAATAGCACTAAAAGGCCCATAAATGTTTCAATATTAGGTTTAACAGAAACAAGATACAGACTAAATAATTTGTATAAGAAATTATAAGATGTCTTGAAAAGAGAACCGAATAGAACTTCCAAACCTGAAAAATTATGAAAATTCTAAAATAAAACATATAAAAGAAAGATTAAGATAAATAAGAGAATAAAGAGAGAAAGTCTTAATGGAAAAAATGAGAAATAAGCAATACTGAAAAGACAAACGCTGAGAATTTTCTAGAATTGTTGCAGGGCACCAATCCTGAAATTCAGGAATCCCCTCAAATCCTAAGCATAATTTTAAAATTTTAAGGAAAGAAAAGGGAATAAGGAAGGAATTCAGACTTAGATCACTACAAAACTGCAAAAAGATGTCAAAGAGATGTTAAAAGCAGCCAGAAGAAGGAAGGATGGGAAACGAAGAAAGGAGGAAAAAAAGAAGGGAGAAAAAGATCGAAAGTACTTGATTTTCGATGGAAGTAATGAAAAACTTAACTAGAAACTATAAAATTCTAATTCTTATTAGGATCGAAGTAAGGTTCCGTTGAGATTCATCATGATTCATCATTCACGACAGGAAAGTTTCCTGCTTAAGAGCAGTGAAAACCTTGAGTACAAGAGTATGTAATGGAGAAGGAAAGCAAGAAACACACACACACAGTTTCAACTGCAATTTGAAAAACAGAAAATGAACAATAAATTATGAACTAATGACAATTTCCCCAGAAAATCGAAAAGTTAAGAAGAGTGGAAAATAACAATATCTAGCATTTATTGAGTGCAAGAGTTTTTAATAAAAAACAATTTAAAAAGAAACTGAGTAGGGACGTACTAAATATATCACAGGAAAACATTTGCTGGGAGAGGTCGAAAAGTAGAAACTAAAGAACGCCGAAGACAACCAACCTCGAATATGGACTATTTACTCAACATAAAGTTACTGCTATTAACAGCCTATTAGAAATCAAGGCTGCATCCGTAATTCATGGCTGCTCACTGTGATGATGAAGATTATTATTATTATTATTTGCGGATGCAGATTGTATGTATAGATCAATTACATTAGAATGACGATTAGATGGACCGCAAACTAGAATATATAAGTGGCTACTGACACTATTTGTGCATCTTTTAATCTGGGAAATGTATATTCACTCCATAGTCTCAGTATAAACTATTTTAAAATTACACGTAAGCCAACCAGGTGTCTCTTTTATATTTTAGAGTGAATAATGAGGATAAATTCCAGTAGAGAGTTCTATTTTAAGCAATCCAAATTCCCCGAACTTTGCTGATTATTCTAGTGTTTAGAACCTTTGCTATTTGCCTGGCACTTCTTGAAACCCATAACTCACAAACGCCGGGGCATGGAATCACATCAAAGAACAGGTGAAAAGTTGTTCCTAGTTGTGTTATGCAGGTGCATACAACTCCCGCCATTCTCTGTGCAAAAATCAACAAATAAACAGAGGCACCGCATTTCGGATTCTGTTACGCACTGTTTGCAATGGCGCCCGGTATTCGTAGTTTCTGCGAGGGGAGCCGCCAGCGCGCCAACCCTCGCTGAGGAGGAAGAAAACTACATTTCCCACAGAGGCACGGGGGCGAACACCGGCCGGGCTACGTCATTGCTTGAACCAACCAATAGCAGCTCCGGGCGGCAGTGAGGCAAGCGCCTCAGGCGCCAAAGTGGTTTTTTTTTTTTTCTTTTTTTTTTTTTGCCGGAGTCGAGCGGGTGCTGCTAGCGGAGGCGCCATATTGGAGGGGACAAAACTCCGGCGACAGCGAGTGACACAAATAAACCCCTGGACCCCCTTGTTCCCTCAGCTCTAAGGGCCGCGATGTTGTACCTAGAAGACTATCTGGAAAGTGAGTGCGCGGCGCTGGCGGCGGCCGCCAGTGGGACGTGCGGGCGGGCAAGAGCGCGAGTGGACGGGCAGCGAGATGGCGGGAGGGAGGGGGCGGCGGGGGATGTTTCTTTCTCACGGTAACTGGCAGCCTCGTTGTGGGCTGCCGGCCCCCTCGACCCCCCTGACGCACGCGCGCAGTGACGTAAGCGCGTATTTCGCCGTTGGCCCCGCCCCTCTGACGGACTCTCCCTTTGACAGTGATTGAGCAGCTTCCTATGGATCTGCGGGACCGCTTCACGGAAATGCGCGAGATGGACCTGCAGGTGCAGAGTAAGTCGGCGCGTCTACTACTCCTGTTCGCTGCGCGCGTTCAGTGCCAGACTTGCTTGTCATCACTGCTAGCGCCTAGTGCTCTTTCACTGTCCTCTGGCTCACTCCGCTAGTGCATAAGGAGTTGTCAAAAAGAACTGGCAGCCCTGAATCTCGCCTTCCCCTTCCCTCCCATGCTACTTTTTTCTGGCTTTTGCAAGAGCAGGAGGCATTGGGACACGTGTATTCCTTTCTAGAATGTGGGATTGTGCAAAAAATATTTCTCTACCGTCATTGACATAGTTATCTATGTTTCAATGGACGTCAGCATAATAAATGTTGAGATGTCGTCTTGAGCCTTTTCGTATCGAACTTAGATTTCAGCATTTATACTTATTTTAAAGTTCATCCTATTCACAGTTTTTCAAGAGTGGAAAGCACAGAAGCAGAGGTTATATATAGCTCTTTAGAGACCATGGCAAATGTCAAATTTTGAAAACTTAGTTACACATTAGATACATTTTAAATTGTAACAGAATCGTCATTTTCTTGGTTAAAATGAGTGACAGAAATTAGATTTCACTGTAAAGTTTCTTATGTGCTGTACTAAAAATTTTAGCAGTTAATGAACATTTCTTTTTCTTTCAGTGATAGCTTGGTAGTCTCTAGGACTTTTTCCCCAAATTAACTTTGCTCTTTCATAGAGCAACGACTATAAATAGGTGGCTCAGGGACCACCTGCTGCAGCTAAGAACCTGTCCTTTTCACTGCTCCTGGCTTCTCTGCCCATGACCACACACCCACTTCTATACCCTTTGCTTATGAGTATATTTTTCCGGTAAGTTTCAGGTGGCACATAATAAAAAGTGGTGGCATGGAAGCCACTTTCTGTTCAGTGGATTGTGATATGAAGTATGAATTGTGTGTGTGGTTCTCCAGCTATCTCACAAATTCATTTTAATTTTAGTGTAGTTGAAATGCTGAAGATTTGCTGAAGTAGTGTTCTCTGCAGGACTGAGCACAGACATTGATGTCAGATCTGAGTTTGTTTTAGGGCTTTACTAATTTACTCATTGACTCTGACTGTATTATCACTTGTGAGGGGCTTACATTGTCTATAAAAAGAGAATCATCCAAGGATTTAAAATGTTACACATGGATTAGAATTTCTAGTATCTGATACAAAGTAGGCATTAAATAAAGGGTAACTTACTTTAAATTATTTTTATATTTTATTGTTTAAAATTTTAAATTCTCTTGTAATTTGGGCTTACATTATACATATTACAGGCTTTTTAAACGTGCATTTCTTTACAGTAACTAGAATTTTCTAAAGTTAATAGGTATTATGGATTAACAGAACTGTGTGCCAAATAAATTCAGAAATGCTTATTTAAACAAAGGAACATACTTCTAAAAAATTAACCATAGGACTTCATAGAGTCTTTAAAAGGCTATTGTGGACTGGAAATCTCCAAAAGAAGTATATTATGAAAAGATTTTTCTCAACTTACATAACAACAGAATCTTTTTTATTAATTTTTCCTTTTTTTTTTTAGCAGACATCCAATGAGATGATTAGTCTTGGCATATAATTTGGGGAAAACTTACCTAGAATTAATGTTTAAATGATTGTACCTACTACTTTCAGTTGGGATATGACATGATGAGATGTTTAATGCCATATACCAAATATTTTTATCACTTTTTCTTGTTAAAAGAAATGTGAGGATTATCTAATGGTGTTTTAATTGTGTTTCGGTACATTTGTCTGATTTAATACCATTAGCTTTTGACCTAAAGGCTTTATTGCTCAAAAATTATAGTATAGAGCCTATCTACTTTGGCTGTTGGAAAAAATTTTGAAGTAACAAAAACAAAAATAATCTGTCAATAAGGAAAATTGTAACTTTTTAAAGGAAGATAATTGAGGCATTATATATTTACACAATCAAAGCATAACATATTTAAGTTACTGGCAAGGTGAAAGAGTGTGTATTGTCAGATTTTTTCCCTCCCTAAATCAAACCATGTATATTTAGTATATGAATTTGGTCATTTAATATGAATTTTTTTTATTATGTCATAGATGCAATGGATCAACTAGAACAAAGAGTCAGTGAATTCTTTATGAATGCAAAGAAAAATAAACCTGAGTGGAGGGAAGAGCAAATGGCATCCATCAAAAAAGTATGTGCAACACTTTGGATAATTTATCAAGAAATATTGGGACCCTCTGAAAAAGATATTTCAAAATTAAATAGTGGTCTGGATATCAAAATGAGAGAATATTATCAATGACTCCTTAGAATATAAATAATTTATTGTGGTTTAGAGCTTCAGATAGGGATTTTTAGTCATTAAAGCGTTTTGGTAATTAAAAATATTGTTTCAATAATTACTGAGTATTAGAAAGTGACAGACCATTTAAAAGTTACTTTTTTTTCTATTAGTTTGTTTTATTCTAGTTGAGATAGAGTACTGTATTCCAGTTTTGGCCACAAACTAGGTAAATAAACATGAGCAGACCTTGAAGAATATTTTATATATTGCTAGGTACTTAAATTAGTGGACCCACAGAAGAACGAAATCTTAAAAGTTAGAAGGAATTTAAGAAAGCCTTCTAGTTTAAACTCTAAATTTGCACACGAATTGGTCTGGAAACATAGAATTCTTTGAGGTTTTGTTAGTTTTATAGTGGCTATAGCTGTCTTCCAGAATTGAATGAGTATACACGTACATCTCAAAGTTTGCTTTGAAAGTATGATTGAGTTCATTTAGGGATGGATACATTGGAAAAACAACTTAAAAGACTTGAGTTTGGTCATGATTCTGCTATTTAGCTGTGTGACATTAAATCTTAATATTTCTGAATAATAATGCCTTCCTAAACCCAATGTTCATAGAATTGTTCAAGGATCAACTAAGAGGCCTGGCGTGGTGGCTCACACCCATAATCCTAGCACTTTGAGAGGCTGAGGCGGGTGGATCACCTGAGGTCAGGAGTTCGAGACCAGCCTGGCCAACCTGGTGAAACCTCGTCTCTACTAAAAATACAAAAATTAGCTGGGCGTGGTGGTGGGCGCCTGTGATCCCAGCTACTCGAGAGACTGAGACAGGAGAATCACTTGAACCCAGGAGGTGGAGGTTGCAGTGAGCCTAGATCGCGCCACTGCACTACAGCCTGGGCAACAGAGTGACAGAGTGAGACTCCGTCTCAAAAAAAAAAAAGGGTCCACTAAGGAAGAAATTTGGAAACTACAAATTGAGTAGTTCTGTTATGATATGTTATTTATTCTACCACATGGAGGGAAGATTGTTTCTCTTAGGAAAAAAAAAAATCATAATCTATAACAGAAGTGGTCCTAGCTTGGAAGATACCTGGAGGGACATGTGTTTGTGAGTAAAGACATGTTATATCCACATCCCAGAGTCACTAATCATTTCTTTAACCTGTGGAGTGCACCTTAAGTATACCCTGAAAAGTCTAGTACTCCATGGAAATTCATAGTATCATCTTCTTTCCCCCTCTTTTTTAAAAAAAAATTTAATAAGTTGAGGCAAAATCTAAAATACAGATTGAGTTGTATGAATATATACCTAATTTAAAGTGGGAGTTATAGAACAACTGGAAAATGGGGAAATGCAGATCAGAATCCTTTCAATAGCTGAACTTTAACAAAAATTTTTTAATGGAATGCAAATGTACTTTACAAGTTAGATCAATTTTAGTTAACTTTTTATTTTAAATACT
Organism: Homo sapiens; assembly: GCF_000001405.40. Lineage (NCBI taxonomy): Eukaryota > Metazoa > Chordata > Mammalia > Primates > Hominidae > Homo > Homo sapiens. The sequence goes on from NC_000007.14 coordinate 120,954,969, forward strand.
GTTCATTAACTCATATAGCTTTTTCTAGACTTACAATGGCATTTACTTTTAATTATATCCTTTCTAGAAATTCTGAACATCTCCCTTTTACTCTTGGCCATTGTGCATAGTTTCTAATCCTATACCATCCCCACCCTATTTCTAACAGGTTTTTGTTTTGTTTTGTTTTTTGTTTTTTTGAGACAGAGTCTCGCTCTGTTGTCCAAGCTGGAGTGCAGTGGCCCAATCTCGGCTCACTGCAACCTCTGGCTCCCGGTTCAAGCACTTCTTGTGCCTCAACCTCCTGAGTAGCTGGGATTACAGGCGCCCACTACCATGCCCGGCTAATTTTTGTATTTTTAGTAGAGATGAGGTTTTGTCATGTTGGCCAGGCTGGTCCCAAACTCCTGACCTCAAGTCATCCGTCCTCCTTGGCCTCCAAAAGGGATTACAGGCGTGAGCCACTGCCCCTGGCCTCTAACAGGTTTTTTATTACTAAGGTAGGATGACTGTGATAACAAGATATGATAATGAAAATGCAGTTGTATGTCCTGCATATGAATATTTTAAAATGATTAATTTATTTTTGAAATGAAAATGTTTTCATTCAGGACTACTATAAAGCTTTGGAAGATGCAGATGAGAAGGTTCAGTTGGCAAACCAGATATATGACTTGGTAAGTAAAAGTAATGTGCATACTGTGCCATAAGTACTTGAATAACAGATTATATCTTAAATTGTATTGGCTTAAATGTAGTAGGAAGAAGCAACTAAAACTGAAGTATTGCTCTCTTGATCACATCTAATTTGACATTTCAGTGTCCATTTTATGGTTTCTTTGTGGAAAAGTCAGAGTGGTTAGTTAATGTGGTGAGAACTGTACATTTTAGCAAGTCTATACGGCGGTAAGGTGGTTTCTGATGTTAGATATTTTTTAAACAAGAATTAATGTTTAACTTTATTTTACTAATCCTTGTCTTCTTAAGGTAGTGTGTTTACTTGCCTTATACATCATTTTGAGATTGTTTCTGTGGTAAAATACACCTAAGAAGACTGCTTTGACAAGAGTTCTTGGTAGTCTGATTAAAATGAAGAAGAATCATTTGAATCAGTGTTTATGTGAGTGATGTTAAAAGATCGTATGTAACAGCTGTGTCAGTTGTTTAAGCAATACAAGATGACAAACTTTAAACAAGATTCTTTTTTTGCAGCAGCACTTCTAAAAGATTGAAAACACCAAGAAGATAGATAGAATATTCACTATTTCTCATATTGATGCAATTGTGGTGCTCTTTTTCATTTGAAACATCTTCTCCTAAAATATACACTTTAAGAAATAGTCATTTCTGTTTTTGCATTAAAGTAAATTAAAGCAGAAAACACATGCTCACTTTTGGCTAACTTCAGTGTATAGATTTCATACTTATGTTGTCTTTCCTGGGTACAGATTTATTACTGAACAAGTACGTGTAAGTAAAATGTCATTGGTGAGCAGGACACAAGATAAAAGGTGAACACCACATATGGTGTGAATTGTAAATGCTTATACCACAAACTTGAAAATGTGTCATGTAGAGCCATGGAAAATGTCTAGTTGTTTTTATGTAGTACACACATTTTAATGGTGCTAACAACCTGGGCTCTTTTGTTCATAGAGTTATTCTGAAAAAAATTTCATAAAAGACACTGCCTAAAGATAGGTAGAATAGGCTGTAGCTTGATTTACTGTGGAATAAAAACCAAAAAAAAAAAGGTCTTAATTGTTTCAGTCTTTAATTATGTCTATAAACTTAGAAAAAGGCATTTACATTTGAATCTAGACTAATTTGTTTAGTAACATTCTTCCTCATATTCAATGACTGTATGTATCAGTCCTTATTTAGAGACTGCCTGCTTTTTAATTCATATAGCTCTTTGGTTCTATTCTTTGTTTTGTTTATTATTTTGTTGTTTTATTGCTTGTTAGACCTTTACTAAAGATATTTTGTGTATTTAGAAAAAATATAACATAAATATATGCTTTTTAAATATGTGTGTGTGTGTATTCATCTCTTATTTAAAAACCACACTGTTCATCCACTCTGTGCCTGAAAAAAGGGAGCTGTACCTGGGTCTAATGGAGGAATAAAAAGTAAATACTAGGCCGGGCGCAGTGGCTCACGCCTGTAATCCCAGCACTTTGGGAGGCCGAGGAGAGTAGATCACGAGATCAGGAGATCGCGACCATCCTGGCTAACATGGTGAAACCCCATCTCTACTAAAAATACAAAAATATTAGCCGGGCCTGGTGGCGGGTGCCTGTAGTTCCAGCTACTCGGGAGGCCGAGACAGGAGAATGGCGGGAACCCGGGAGGCGGAGCTTGCAGTGAGCAGAGATCGCGCCACTGCACTCCAGCCTGGGCGACAGAGAGCGACTCTGTCTTAAAAAAAAAAAAAAAAGTAATACTAGAAATGGCTCTTGTCCTCAAGGTGTCTGTAAACTACTGTTGTGGGGCAGACATACCTGCAAACTAAAGTGGAGAATCCATACAGAAACATGTAATAAACATTAACCAGTTGAATATTAAGGGGTGTCTACTGAAAAACATTGAAGTAAGTCATGCAGAGTTACTTACTGATTTCTTAGAGGGTATAGGAAGAGTTTTGAACAGAGTTTGTTTAGAAAGTCAAGGTCCTGAATTAGGTATTGTATTGAGGGGAAAGCATTTCACTCAGAGATAATGGCATAAACAGAAGGAAAGTACAAATTCAGAAATTAATTGAGAAGGGATAGATTCCAAGGCTAAAGAGTGAAGTAATAAAGGCGAGGTAGTAAATTTAATAAAGCATAAGAAATACAACAGAAAGCAAGTGTCCATAATGGATCCATGCAGATGTGAGTTCAAACCCTAGCTCAGCCATTTCACTGACACCATGACTTTGGAAAAGTTATTTAATCTTGAACCACAGTTTCCTGCTGTAAAAAAGCAATATTAATTTATACCTTACTGAAGGGTTTGCATTAGAATACATACAATGCTATTAGTTTGGCAGATAGTAGGATTTGCTCCTTCTTTAAGAACTCAGTCCATCTCATTTCCTGAACTGGAATTTTCTATTTTCCTGAAGCCACTGCTTCCCTTTCAACTCTGCCAAGTGGAAGCTGCTGTCTCTCACTCTCCTAGTATCTCTGAGGCTTCTTTTTGTCTTTTCTTCTTTTTCTTCCCCCACCCTTTCTTTTCTGCCCCCACCTTTGCTCTACCCTCTTCCTTTTTATTATTTTTTTTCTTTTTCCCTTTCTCCTTCCCTGCCTTTCTTTTTAAATACTTTAATCCTATTTCAGGTGAACATTATATCCTTAATATAAAAAATCCCTTCTCTTTCAGACTTAGTGATAATCATCTCAGTTACCCTCTGCCTCTTATCACTATAATTTAATGGCTTCTAGGTGAGGCTCAGATTGAAAAACTGGTACCCGGTTCACAGTTCTCTGTTGCAATCATCTTATACTACCTAGTCATCTACTTCTTTGGCTTTTGTAAATGCTAATCCACTTCAGTCGCCACAGACTGAACCTGATCATCACTTGGAATTGCCCTGCCTCTGATACTTCTTGCGTCTACACTTCCTCCTATTTTATCAGCCCTTTCCTATTCAATCAAGAGACTGGTTGAGCTCTTGACCACTTTTCTTACAGGTACCTTCCACATTGTTGCTGCCTTAGGGCATGTTTTTACTTGCTGCATCTTTGCTTCATCACTTATGCCTTCTCTTTTTCATCTTTAGCCTCTTTTCTTTCTATTGGCTTCTATACCACAGCATTTAAACATGCTCAGGTCTTCCTCATATTTAAAAAGAACTCAGGCAATCTAATATAAATCGTGTCGTGACCGTGACTCTGCTTTAGCTAGTGTAGTCTTCCTTAATTTCTCATTCAGACTCTTTGACACTCCCTTACCTTCAATTTATTCCTAAATTTATGGCAATTGGGGTTCTATTTACTAATCCTCTATAACTTCATTTAATGAATTCTTTATTGCTAAATTCATCAGACAGCTTCAATTCTTTTTAACTGACCCTATTGGTAAATTTAATGCTTATTGCCATTCGTTTTGTCTTGCCATTCTTGACCTTGTATTACCATGTGACTGCCTGCTCTAGATGCTCCCACCTTTGTGACCTTTCTTAGTCTCCTTCTTGGGTACAGCTCATAATGATGGTGTTCCTCAGGGTTCTGTCCTTGACCTACATGGTTTCTTACTCTTCAAGTGGTTCTCACATGAAGGTGATTGTCTTCCCCTCTTCTACCTGCCAAGAGGGCCAGGAAGAACAAATTCCACAGCGTAAAGACCTGTTCTTTCAAATGCAAGTTTTATCCCCAACCTTTGCACACCACCCAAGTTGAGAGACACTCCTCTATTGCAATTCCATGTGTTCTCTTAGTGTTAACAATTATACGTTAATTATTCCTGAAGCCCAAGCTGTTTCTTTGAGTCTTTTAATCTTAGCTGACTATTCCCAGGCCCTAGAACTCAGTGTTTTGAAATTTAAAACTCAAAGCATCTCCTTTTTCTTCTCTAACTACCCTCCCCTGCCCCATCACCAACTTTTTGTTTCTAAATCTCACATGAACCACACTGACCTTGTAGTCATTCAGATTAGGGCACTGAAAGTCACCCTATACTCCTTGTCACTTCCTCACATTTTTTTTTTTTTTTTTTTTTTTTTTTTTTTTTGAGACGGAGTCTCACTCTTTCGCCCAAGCTGGACTGCAGTGGCGCTATCCCGGCTCACTGCAAGCTCCGCCTCTTGGGTTCATGCCATTCTCCTGCCTCAGCCTCCCGAGTAGCTGGGATTACAGGCGCCCACCACCACGCCCGGCTAATTTTTTGTATTTTTAGTAGAGACGGGGTTTCACCGTGTTAGCCAGGATGGTCTCGAACTCCTGACCTCGTGATCCGCCCGCCTCGGCCTCCCAAAGTGCTGGGATTACAGGCGTGAGCCACCACACCTGGCCTGGCAAACTATTAAATAAAGACTATTTTAGATTTCGATAAGTACACAGGAGGAAATAAACATTGTAGAAAGAGAGGAAGGGGGAGAAAGGGAGAGACAATTGAATAACTGGCGAAGGCTGTTAAGAATGTAGTCTAAGGAGATGACGTTTGAGGTGGTACTTGGAAAATAAGAAAGAACCACCTGTTGGAAAAGCTAAGGAAAGAATGTTTCAGGCACGTGGTATACCAAGGGCAAAGTTTGGAGTGGAAAAGACTTGGCAAGTTGAACCAAGAGAGAGGCCGGGGTGGTTGGTCTGTGGTCTGTAATGGGAAAGGAGCAGCATGAAAGGAAGCAGGCAGGAGCTAATGCATGGGGGCCTTGCGAGCCAGTCTAGGAGGAGAGTGATTCTTAGTCTAAAGCGGTGGGAAGCCAGTGAAGGACTTTAAACAGAGGCGTGGAATATAGACCTTAAAAGAGATTTTGTGTAGGTATGCCTTTGCTTAAACATTATATTATAGGAATTTTAAATAAGCATGTATTACTTTTACAGAATTTATGGTACATCACCATAGTATGCAATTATGTTTGATTTTATCCCTCAGTGTTTTATATGGCGTTGCATTTTGTTGTATTTTTTCATTGAAATATTTTATTTACTTTTAAACCAGTAGTAAACATTTTTTTTCCTGTGACCATCACTGCACTGGTCACCTCATTTATTAAGGAATAAACCAAACTACATATTATCAACATATTATCAATGAAGAAATTTGTTTTAGGGTTCCGGTAGAAGAAACTGACAGTTTATTTTAGTAGCCGTTTTAGTGAAATTTGACTAACACACACAAAAATCTATCCTGTTAAAATAGTTTTGTTCTAGAAGCATGATACTCATAAATAGTTGTTAAATACTTATTTGTGTTTCTCAGCCAGATGTCACTGTCATAAGGATGTATTGGATTGCAATACCTAATAAAGTTGATTTATACATACCCTGATAAAATTTGAGCTTTTAGTTAATGCTTGAATGATTTTAGCAGTCTCTTGCAGTGCTCAATACCCTTGAACTTGCTTCTTTTTTTATATCCTGGCCTGTTCCTGAGATGGTTATATTTCAGATGCACATTTTACCTATAAATTTGAGAGTTTTCATCTGATACTCTAATTAAGGAAATATGTGAGTTTGACCTTTTGATTTCTGTCCTGTCCTTATTGTCTTTCAGGAAGATGATTAGACAGAGTTATATGCTAAGGCCTCTCAAGTATTTGTTTCAGCATAACAATAGGTCACATTTTCATCTAGTTTAAATCTAATTTAGAGATATAAAGAATCATTTTCATGACCTGTTATCTGAGAAATACTTTGCTATCATGGTTTCTTCTTCTTCCCCAATTTACCCTCTTTACTCGCTATTACTAGACCTTTTCATGGTTAGAAATTTAACTTACTGCTGTCTATTTCAACTTAGAATGTAACAGACTTGATTGCCTCTTCCGATAGGGCAAGCTAGACATCTAAATTTTATAAATTGATTGTATTGGAAGCAGTAGATCATGTAGAGACTTTAAAAAAGCTGTATTTAGTTTTGTTTGGGTCCATTAGTGATACACTTTAAATGTGAATATTAGAAAACCAGAGAGTCAAAAAAGAAAGAGTCAAAGATTACAACTCTATGCAAATATTATAGGATGAAGGATTTTTTGTTTGTTTTGTGCAGAGGGGCCAAGTATGACTTAAATTTGCTATGATCATGAGTGTGTTAACAAGTAATGTTGGTAGAATATCCTTTGTCTTTAAAGAGGCTAGAAAAATTATAGGAGTTTAAACTTAAAGCTGTTATGATTTGGGGTTGTAGAATATGATTTGGGATTATAGGGCAAGGAAACTTTGTTTATAGCACTTGTTGACATTAACTGGGAAAAAAAGAAATAATTAGACTCTGTGGTTAGCCCTGTTTTAGGAATCTGTGGCTAATGGAAAATCTCTCAATTGGATCAGTACCCTCTTTACTATTGTAAATCAGTCTTATGAAAGCAGATGTTTGTGGAAGGGTGAGGTAACTTACATCCTTGCTTTGCTTGATGCCTGTGGGGACAACATGGTGATCAGCTAGAAGAGGTGCTGTAACCGTTCAGAATCATGTAGGTTGAGGGAATGCACATGATGGATTTCAGGCAAGTTCACAGCTCTTATTATGGCTGTTTAATATTGTTTAAATATCCTAGTGCTTTATAGCTTAAGTTAATTCTTGTGGTCAATGGGACTTTCCAACTTCTAATTTGATTTAGTACAGCAGTAGTAAATAGAAGAAAAATAATGCTCATTGCCTAATAATTGCTTATAATATTAATCAGGTCATAATCTCTTTTACATATGAGGAAGTAAGAATGATTGGAAGCCGTCTTATAAAGATGCCTACCACAAGTGGTTAAGGCTTTTCTGTCTTTGTTTATTTTAACTATGAATTTGGTTTTTAGAGTTATTAACCCTTTAGGTTCTAGTGCCTTTTCTGAGCTATCTAGTATTGAAAGTCTTGTCATTATTTTTAACATTTTCATATGTAGTGAACTTTATCAATAATATATTTAATAAAATGAAACAATCCTTAAATGCAGAGGTGAAGTGAGTTAGGGCAAGGTGTATGGTATGAAAAAGAAAGGTCTTTATCTCACCCTAACACTACCCCCTCAACCTAACATTCTTGCTCACTGTGCTTTATATACATATTACACGCTACATCATACTTTGTTTTTCTCTAAGCATACTGTTTGTCTTTCTGTCTCTACATTTTTTATTGTGATTCCTTTTTTCCTTCTATTTGAATACAATCCATCTTCACCGTCTTAATTCGTACCTCCTTCGTGTCTACCAGTGTTACTTTTTTATGTACAACTTCTGACTCTTTTTGAACTGTTGCTTATTTGTGACATCTAGACTATATTTTTATCCCTTATTATATTAAAAATCATATATAAATCTTGATTTGTCAGCTAAATTCTAATTCCTATGAAGGCAATGATTCTCTTCCATTCTTCATATATCCTCCATTTAATCCAGCACCAAGCACGTAATAGCTCAATATTTATTATTAGTATAATTGTAGGTACAAAAAGCAATGGAGTGTTTTCGTTGCATTAGTGGTCTTGGAACTTAAATATGAATATTTTTTCTGATTTCCCTTGAGATTAAATTTTGACAATGAAAGAGGTATGCTCAAATAACAGACGTCTGTGTTCACACTATTATTGGAAAGGAAGTTCCATTAAAGGATGCTCAATTACCTGCAGATTCTTTGAATAGGAGCAAGTATCCATAATATGTGATGTTATAGGTTTTTAAATATTCTAGAACTCTGAAAAGTAATGTGTGTGTAAAGGTAGAAGGAAAACTGGCTTTCAGTTTTTGAAAAAATCACAAACCAACACCCTAATGATTGTTGTTAATATATAAAATACAAATAATAGGACAATATTACTAGTTTTTATACTTGAGTTATATTATTCTGAAGAATGTTTTTCAAAAAAAAAACAGTTGTTTTCTGCATGCAGAAAGTTCAGAGGTCAATGTCAGGTAAATGGCAAAGCAGAATTTGTTACAAATAAAGTTAAATTTGGTTTCTGTAATGCATTAGCTATATGACCTTGGGCATATTACTTAAGTAACCCTTCCGAGCCTTAATTTCTTCACCTATAAAGTAGAGACAGTAATAACTTCAAAAGATCAGATCGAGGGCTAGAAAAGATAGGTCATCTGATGCGTCAAGCACATTACCTCCTCTTCATAGGCATCTAACCCATGCACATTGTGTTTTGCTACCTTTCTCCCCTTCTTCCTCATGTTAGTTACACATTATTTAATTCTAAACCTTACTTAAAATGTTGCCCTGGTAGAGTATCATAGCACATGTTGATATCTGTAAGAAAGTTATTTCTAATTCTAGCAGTAATCCAGTGGGAAACTAGACTTAGAAAAGGATGTTATCAATAATGTGACATGAATATTTTTCAAAGAATTTGTGTATTTTTTGGTTTCACTTCAAAGTAATGAGTTTGAAAAAATATTAAAATATTTAATATTAAGTTTAAAAAATACATTAAGACATTTTTTGTTAGTTTGAAGTGTCATATAATTTTCTGAAATTAGTCAAAAGATCTCTCAGTGACAAAATAAAATTTTGCCAAGTTAACTAGGGAAATAGTATTATAAATAAAATAATTTTAACCAGATCCTTTGAGGAATGGAGTTTTCTGGCTAACAATCCCTTTTGTTTCACCTCTTCACATAAATGTTTACAAGCATTATGATTCACTCTCATGCCTTAGAGTAATAGATGTATAGAATATAGGAACTTCTTTGTAGACTGAGGATCTTTCATCATTCTAAATAATAGCTTTTATCGTATGACAGTGTGGATGATGGCCTTATAAGCAGGAGGAGATTAGGCTCTAAGTAATCACAGGGCATATTATGAAAAGTGACCAGCCTCCACCATCCCCTCCTCCCATTCTCTAATCCCTAATCAGTTTTGCTTTAATTTTCATGTCCTGACTTCTGAAAATGGAGTATAGAACATTTCCTAACAAGTTGAGAGTCTGGGTCTTAGAACTTAAAATTTATTGAAGGAGACTTGGGAGATTATTTAGCCTAACACCCTCATTTTATAGATTAAAAACCTCTGAGGCATAGATTAATTGACTTGCTCAAGGATACTAAGCAGATTCACTAAAAGAAACAAAAATTTAGGTTTCCTCATTAAGCTGACACTTTAACAGTGTCCCAAATTTTGGTGGTTATCTTTGATCTTCTTTGAAACAGGTAGATCGACACTTGAGAAAGCTGGATCAGGAACTGGCTAAGTTTAAAATGGAGCTGGAAGCTGATAATGCTGGAATTACAGAAATATTAGAGAGGCGTAAGTAAAATTTACAGTTTTCCATCAATATTGGACAGTACATGTGCAAATCGCTGAGAAGACCTTGTCCCACAGAGGCTTTTGAAATCCTGCCCTTCAATGGATGGTGGCATCCAGGCCAGATAGCTTGGACCCTAACAGTTGGAAATGTTTGGGTCATGCATACTGAGAGAGATAATATAGGATATCATCCACTCACTCTTTATGAAACAACATATTAAATCATTTTATATCCACATATACTAGTAAGTTGAGTGGTAAGAACAAATTTAAAGAAATGTAACCATCGGGAGACAAATTAACCATCTTGCATTAAGTGTGTTGACTTTACTCTGCCTCTTTATACACTTAAGCTTTGAGGAAAGTTGTTAGTTTCTCTTCTTAAGAATTACTTTATGGCTTTTCCTTAACTGCATATACTGAAAAAGACTCACATTGGTTTCATAACACTACCTCTTTTTCTTAAAGAAGTGTTTTCTTCTTTCCCTTAGCAGCAAGAAACCATTTTGATATTTCTTTGCAAGGCTCTATTTGATCTCCTGCTATAACTTACCCCTGTCACTTCTTTGGTGTGACTTCCCAAAAATGGAAGCATGAGCACTGTTTCCTTAACTAATTTAGCATTTCTTCAACCTAAATAGGTAATGTACATAAAAGCAGTTAGTGTGGTACTAGGTGTAGAGTAGGCACTCACTAGATGTTAATTGAACCAAATTAATATTATGGCTAATTTCTACTAGAATTTAATTAAAACTTACAAACCTTCTTTTTCTTGGTGCATTTCAACAGTAAGAATATGTACCTGTTTCTACACACAGATGAAAGATTTCTTTACAGTGCCAATCTATGTATCTCTCTACTCACTAGAAGTCAGCTAGGGAAGCCAATCACAGATCTGTCTTGGTATCCATAGTTGCATTTTTGTGTTCAAAAGTAGATCCATCACTTTAGATAATCATCCTATTTATTTGTGATACTTTTCTTCTGGAGGAACCCTATATAAAGATAATAAGTATTTTGAGACAAAATTAAAAATTCTGTATCTGCTTTGATTTTTTAAAAATGCTGATGATAGCTGTGAGTAATGATAATTCATGCCTATTCAGTACTGCAGGAAGGTTAATAAAGCATCCTCTCTAAGGACACAGACATATGAAACAAAATTGGATCAAGTTATAAAAACTGCTCCACCCTGTGCCCTGCCATAATTTCATCTCAAGGGATCAAAAATAAACCCAGAAAAATGTATTTAGAGGTATTTTAAAGCTTGGTGTTAGAGATTCTATTCCTCACTTTTTGCGAACAAAATCCCTAACTTCTTTTAGGAAGTCTTTATTATCATAATGTCATTTTAATGATCAAATAATTTTTTTCATATAGTAATGTCCCCCATCACGTAGAACTTCAGAATCTCCCATTAAAAGGTCTTCAACTCAGTAAAACTAGGTTGACTCTTACCAGTAATGAGATTACAATGTCCATTCATCCATTTATATGGCACCCACTATGGTGAATTCCCTAATTAGACACGAGTATGCCTTGAGCCATTTTGTACTTAAGATTAATATTGGGAAAAGGATAACTTATTGTTTAGAGAGAGGATAACTCAGTGTGGGATGGACAGTGGTGATCCTCTAACATGTCTGGCTAAAATAAATACAGGCATATGCATCAGAACTTGCTAGTCCTCTGCTGGGTAAGGGAACTCATTGCCTGTAGTTGAGTGACATGTGAAGTTCTGCGGTGACATTTAATGGTGGTGTATCTCTGTGCCTCTCTTCTTTTAGGATCTTTGGAATTAGACACTCCTTCACAGCCAGTGAACAATCACCATGCTCATTCACATACTCCAGTGGAAAGTAAGTTTGGTGTAGTGCAGCTAAGTTTTAAAAACAATGAAAACCTTATTATATCACCTATATGTTCTCTTTTTTTAACTCTACACAACCAATTGAGAAATAAATCCCTTCTTTTTTTTTCATTGCAAGTACTGGCAGACTTGTCTTTTTCCTTGGGGGGAGCATATGTGATTCGGAAATGAGTATTCTGTTTTCTCTTAAATGCGTAGAAGGAGAATGTATAGTACTAATAGCATATATTCCCTTCATACACATACCTGATTCTCCTTAGGGAGCTTTTCAACTGAGCATTCTCCTTAGGGAGCTTTTCAACTGAGCCAAACAATAAGCTATTTTGTAATAGGCCCTTTGTCTTTTTCATCCTTGCTTCTCCAGTGCTTAACCTAATGTTTGGCATATAATTAAGTCTGAATGGTTGGTAAGTCAGTGAGTGGATGAATTGTTAGTTAGATGACTGGCTGGCTGGTTGGTAACAGTCAAAAAATGACTATATCAGTACATCTTTTGACACATCAATTTGGTGGGAAACTATTTTAAGTGGTAGATTGTGTTTTGAAAACAAAATTTCCCTCACATTGTATGTGAGCCCATGGTGTATCTTGGGTTATCTTTAGTACTTTGCTAGAAGTTTTTTAAATGGTGGAGAAGTCTACTCTTAATAAACATGTGACACAGAGTTCTGCTTGTCCTGCCTTCTGAGGAAACATCATGTTCTGTATTTTATGAGGAACCCAGATCATACTGTTTCACATTTTAACTGGATATAAGTATTATGCCTTGTCCATAGTTCTCTAAAGTTTAAAAACACATGAATTTTTTATTTATATTTAGAAAGGAAATATAATCCAACTTCTCACCATACGACAACAGATCATATTCCTGAAAAGAAATTTAAATCTGAAGCTCTTCTATCCACCCTTACGTCAGATGCCTCTAAGGAAAATACACTAGGTAAGTTAATTTTCTTAAATATGATTGCTTTGTTTGTTTGTGTTAGAGTAAGGGGAAATAAAGTGTTTCAGGATTAATGAATCATACAGTTTCTTTACCTGGTTAAAGTATACATATGGAGAAAGAAGAAAAAGGAAAACCAAATACATTATTCAGTTGACTTAATGTACAAGTGACATTAAAAATTTTAATGATTATATGTCTGTGCTGGGAAATAATGTAATTTAGACTCACTAACATTATGTTCTCTGCAACCATTTTTATTTCTTTTTTACATCTACACAGGTTGTCGAAATAATAATTCCACAGCCTCTTCTAACAATGCCTACAATGTGAATTCCTCCCAACCTCTGGGATCCTATAACATTGGCTCGTTATCTTCAGGAACTGGTGCAGGGGCAATTACCATGGCAGCTGCTCAAGCAGTTCAGGCTACAGCTCAGGTAAAAAGTAAAGGGTTTAGAGACAAAATGTTACATTTTGTCGGAATCATTGGAAACCTAATAGAAATAACGGGATGTGAACAAATAGTTTTCTAACGTTGTATATTTTCATTTTTAAGTCATGATTTCACGATATGTGATATTTTATTTAATGAAATAATACATAGGAATTGCCTGATTGATAATGAAAACTAAAAAATAGGTTTATCATGCGGATTACATGCAGACCCTTCTCACAATAACTGCTCATGTTGCCCATGTTCTTGACTGCAGTCCACAGCACATGCTAGCATAGTTCTTCGTTCTTTCTGCCAGTTCCAAGGCTTCCCCTGTAGCCTTGGACTTAGGTCATCTTGAGTTTGTTCACTTCTGTATAGTTTGCCTATATTCCAAATTAAGAAGCTGCCCATCCCATAGTTTATATTCTAACTGTGTAAAATCTTATTTTAAATCTTTAAATGAAAAAGGTTAGGCCAGGCATGGTGACTCACACCTGTAATCCCAGCTCTTTGATAGGCCGAGGCAGGTGGATCACTTGAGGTCAGGAGTTCAAAACCAGCCTGGTCAACATGGTGAAACTCCATTTCTACTAAAAATACAAAAAAATTAGCTGGGTGCCTGGTGGGTGCCTGTAATCCCAGCTACTCGGTAGGCTATGGCAGGAGAATTGCTTGAACCTGAGAGGTGGAGGTTGCAGCGAGCCAAAATCGTGCCACTAGACTCCAGCCCAAGCGACAGATTGAAACTCCACCTCAAAAAAAAAAAAAAAAAAAAGCTTAAATTCCAGTGATGAAAATAATAGTTTAAACAATATAAATTAACATTTGATAAACCAAAATAAAACTATAATTTGTAAAACTTGAAAAAGAAAATCTACATATTTACATATATTGATGCTATCAATGAATGTCTATTTAAGATGAAGGAGGGACGAAGAACATCAAGTTTAAAAGCCAGTTATGAAGCATTTAAGAATAATGACTTTCAGTTGGGAAAAGAATTTTCAATGGCCAGGGAAACAGTTGGCTATTCATCATCTTCGGCACTTATGACAACATTAACACAGAATGCCAGTTCATCAGCAGCCGACTCACGGAGTGGTCGAAAGAGCAAGTAAGTTTTATTGTTACAGTAGCCCTATACCTTTACTGAACACTTGGTCTACTTGACACTTCAGCCAGGCCTCTCTATGTTAAAGGCAGGATATAACGGATTAAAATTAACCTTGCAGAGGTAGGGAGACATGCGGTTTTCATTTTATAGTGCCATACTTTGAAGGTGTCAAGTCTTTAAAAAGTGTTAGAGTTGTTTTTAATTTTTCTAGAGTCATAAATTGAGTTTGTTAATACATGACTTCTTTTTATCTTCTTTTATTCATTAAGATAAATCATTTTATGGAACTGCTTTTCATTTATTACCCTTTATTTTGCCATGTGTTTCAAGGTAAATTAATGCAATGCAAATTATATCCTGGTGATTTTTTTTTTTTAAACAAGATTTTTCATTTTGATTAACAGCAAGCAAGGCGTCTTCATTCTTAGTCTTGGGTCCCAAAAACTGATGGTGTAAAAATATCCCTAGATTTTGTATATGAGACTTGGGATGACTGTATAAGCTTTAAATATGAAAACCTAATAGCATTTATCACTGTCTATCCCAGGTAACTGAATATGCTGGGTGTTTATACATAATGAAAGTTCAAATGCTAGGCCAAAATAATTAGTTACCTAGTAGTTATATTTTCTGTATTTTAAAATATGTTATATTTTTTGTGAATTAATCCCTTAAAGAACGATCAATATGAAATAACCACAACAGAAGTGTCAAACATCTTAAAAATTAATTCATCTTAATGGTACAAGTTTAATGTAATTTCTTATGATAAAGTTCTATACTTTTAGAATTTAAATAGCATAGGGCTTAGCAGTAAATTACTTGTGAATTTTTACAGTCTTGGTTCCCTGCCATACTCATGGTAGGTATTCACACATCAGTTGATGGTTATAACCACTTTCATCAAATGTTTTTGTGTGTGTGTGCTTTAGGTTTTGATGAAGAGTATTCAGTTTACTTAAAAATACGAATAATGAGTGGCTGGGCGGGGTGGCTCATGCCTATAATCCCAGCACTTTGGGAGGCCGAGGTGGGCAGATCACGAGGTCAGGAGATCGAGACCATCCTGGCTAACACGATGAAACCCCATCTCTACTAAAAATACAAAAAATTAGCCAGGCATGGTGGCGGGCGCCTGTAGTCCCAGCTACTCGGGAGGCTGAGGCAGGAGAATGGCGTGAACCTGGGAGGTGGAGCTTGCGGTGTGCAGAGATCGCGCCACTGCACTCCAGTCTGGGCAACAGAGCGAGACTCCATCTCAAAAAAAAAAAAAAAATACAAATAATGTCTGTAAAGTAGCCAGAACTTATGTTAATTCTTCAAAGTACTACCTACAATTTAAGTCATTGGTAAATCCGGATTACTTTAGCTTACACTTTAATTTATACATTTGATGTCATTTCATTTTATACTATTTATTTAGGAGTTATTCTCAGTTAACTTCTGGATGGTGAGCAAATAAAACTTATACTATTTTTTTCAGAAACAACAACAAGTCTTCAAGCCAGCAGTCATCATCTTCCTCCTCCTCTTCTTCCTTATCATCGTGTTCTTCATCATCAACTGTTGTACAAGAAATCTCTCAACAAACAACTGTAGTGCCAGAATCTGATTCAAATAGTCAGGTTGATTGGACTTACGACCCAAATGAACCTCGATACTGCATTTGTAATCAGGTAAAAGTCTGTTATATCTATAAAAGTATAATCTGAATAAACTAGAAGGAAGAGAACTATTTCATTTTTAAGCACTTTTTTAAACTCACTTAAAATACCTTTGCTTTATTTGTATACTTTTCTCCCCCTTCTTACAAAAGTGACATTTGCTGTAAATACTGAGTATAAAGAAAAATGTTACCCATAATCCTAGCCCTCAGATACAACCTGTAACTAAACATTTTTGGTATACCACTACCATATACCTCATGTGCACATTGGCTGCCTTAATAAAATACAACAGACTGGGTAGCTTAAACAACAGAAAATAATTTTCTCACAGGTATGAAGGCTGGGAAGTCCAAGATCAAGGTGTCCACTGACTCAGTTCTGGAGGAGGGCTCCCTTCCTAGATGGAGACTGCTGCCTTCTCACCGGGTCCTCACATGATAGAGGGAGAAAGAGTGTGCTCTGGTGTCTTTTCTTATAAGGGCACCAGCCTTGTCAGAGTAGGACCCCACTCTATGACCTCATTTAACCTTTACCACCTCCTCACAGGCCCTGTTTCCAATTATAGTCACGTTGGGGGTTAGGGCTTCAACATATGATTTTGAGACATAAGCTTGCATTTCATAACACGTGTCTATGCAGATTTGCACATGCATGTGTGTATAAGTTTGTCAGTAGGAACCACAGTGTATACTTTCTTGTTACTGGCTTTTTTCTCTAAATCAGGTATACCGAACATGATTTTTCTTTAAGATCATATTTTTAATTTTCACATAGTTATCTCTTATGCCATCCAGTGTAGTTTTCTTAACCAATACCTAGCTATAGATTATATTAGTGGTTTTAATTTGTTTGAAATTAGGGATAATATTACGATAGGCATTTTTTAAATGTAATCCATTTTATACATCTAATTTCTTGGATAATCTTTTAGAAATAAAATTAGGCTGTAAATATTTGACAGACACCAAAATATATTTTCTAGAAATTTATTACCAAAAATTAATAAACATACCGGTTTACTAAACCCTGTCCAACACTGGATATTATTTTCTTTTAAAAACTAAGTACCAATTTGGTAGTTTTATATTATGATTGTTTTAAATACACTAGTATTATTGAAGTTGGACATTTTTTGACCATTTTTGTTTTTTACATTATGAATCGACTCCTAATGGTGTCGGCTGATTTTTCTATTGTTTTTGTTATGTACTCTAAATATTTGCTTGATTTAGTTTTTTAAAAATAATTCTAAAATTTTAATTTTATGTAGTTATGACTGTTAATTTTTTTTTATGAAGCAAGCCATGGATTATATACTTAGAAGGGCTTTCTCTTTGGCTCTTCTTTCTACAAAAAATTGTCTTGTATAATATTTTCTCCTAGTTTTTATATGGTTTTGTCTAGTTCTTTGCATGCTTCAGTTTCTTCACATTTAAGACTTAGTCTATCAGCAGATTATTGTGTCTAACAGTATGAGTTGCCAGTCTGATTTTTAAAAATTTTAACAATTTGTTAGCTGTTCCACTATCACCCGATAAACATTTTTCAGTACAAATGATAGAAAAGCATATCCTGTATCCTGACAACAAAAGTAGATTACTTGCAAAAGAACAAAATCAGACTGAACCTAGAGTTTTCCTCTGTAACACTAAAAAACTAGAAGGTGATGGAATATGTCTGTAGAGCTTTCAGGGAAAAATTAAGAGCCCCCAAAAACTTGATATTCAGAGAAGTTATTTCTCTGCATAGGACCATGTAAATATATTTTCACTCATGCAGAGAATCAGAAGATATGCCATCTAGTTAATCCTGTCTGAAAAATTATTCAATCCACTGAGAACTTCAGTGAACTCAAGAATTAGCAAGTTATGCCCTAAAGTGCTGGTGATGAAGAGCAAAAGAAAAATGAGAAAGGACATAAAATAGATAAGTTTAGAAGTTTCAAGGAAGGAGACTATTAATTGCAAAAATATAAATGACCTAATGTGACCCAAGAAGTAAAAACTTTCAGTAAGTAAATAATCAAGAAAGGAACTTAAAATTTTTACAATAAGAACTACCCAGAAAGATGACTCCTTCATCCGGGTGATTTATATGTCAAGTTCTTCCAGACTTCTGAAGGGCAGATAATTCCTGTGCATTTCTTCCCACCCTTGCCCCACCCTGCCCAAAAGAGTATTTCAGGAAAAAATTATTATACCTTGATTCTCAATGTAATTGTATATTCAGTGTATTTCCCTTTATTTTCCAGCAGTATCATACATAAACAGTTAATTGGTATCTAGGTGTTTGTTACATAGTCATAATAAAGACATTTAATTTTTTTTAACTAGGTATCTTATGGTGAGATGGTGGGATGTGATAACCAAGATGTAAGTATTACATTTTTCTATTTAGGAATGAAAAAAATCACAGGTTGTTATTACTTGAATATTTGTCTTATTTGCTGTATGGTTTGGTCTAAGAAAACAGGTTTGCAGGTATATTAGTTATATTATGCTAATG
Organism: Homo sapiens; assembly: GCF_000001405.40. NCBI lineage: Eukaryota > Metazoa > Chordata > Mammalia > Primates > Hominidae > Homo > Homo sapiens. The sequence continues at coordinate 120,973,377 of NC_000007.14, forward strand.
CTAGAATATTCCTCTTCAAAATAGGGTAGTGTCCCTTAATGTGTTCCCTATTTTAATTTTTAAAGCTAATTTTATGGTTTTATGTGCAGATTGTCTCAGAAGTGTTATGTTGTATGAAAATTATAAATACCCTCCTTTCCCTTTACTAAAAAATACTGTGTTTACTAGAATCCAGTTCATTTATCACATTGAAGAAATGGAATTTTAAAACAATTCATTCTTTCAGGCTGCACCGTGCTAAAGTGAAGGGTGGGATAATTGAGGATCTAATGTGAGATTATCTTCCTCTCATGAGTATAATATTTTTTCCTGTACTCTGCAGGTGTCAGCTGATAAGAGCCACCCCTGATCTAAAAAGTAAAGGAAATTTGAAAGGAAGGAATTCTTGGTTTTTAGGAGACTTAATTTTAGTTAGAGATACGTTTTTTATTCAATACTGAGAATATTGTTGTCTAGTAATTTTGACTCCCTCCTTATTTAGTAGTGACAGGATCCTAAGATTAACAAGAGTTTTAAATTTGTAAAACAATCTGAAGATTGAGGGAGCTGGCTAGGTGCATTAAAATGTGTACTTTTCCTAGACCTGATAGGGTTACAGCAACATGCTCACGTAGATTGGGACAGAGCCTCCTTCTGTTTCCCTGTCTAGAATCCCTTGTAGGCTGTTTGTGGTTGTTGCAAAAACAATATTGCCCAACCATTTCAAGAACATCACTGTAAACTCTTCTGGGGCAGTTAGTGAAAATGATGAATGAGATTTCTATGAGTACCAGCATCATGCTTCTCTGATTCTTCTTATTCCCAGTTGTGCTCTTCTGAGTGCTAAGACTTTCATGAAAGAGTTTTCTGCTTAATATGTTTCAAAGAGGAATAATTTTTCTCTACATTTCAAGGAATAGAAACACCCACGTAGGAAATGCAGGGCATAAGACATAAATTAATGTCTTTAATTACAATCAGCTTATTCTACTTTATGAGACAGCAAATAAGGCTGACTATTAAATAAAATCTTAAGTTATATTTACCTTCTACATAGAAGATTCATCCCACTTCTTTTTGCCCTTGAAAGCTGAAAACTAGTGAATTTTCATTCATTAGGATGAGGGGACTAGATTACATGGACCTCAGGATTCTTGAAGATGCATAATTTTTCTGTGCCTTCATTTCCTCATTCCTGAAGCTTATCATTTAGTCTAAATGATGTCTAAATAATCTAGATCTAAAAATTCTGATGTCACACATCTAATTATTGTTAAATTAAATGGATTATTCAGTCTCCTGAGCATATTTTAATATACTCTCTTGTCTTCAGAAGTACTGAAAACTTGTTTTTTGCAATTTTGCTTTCTAGTGCCCTATAGAATGGTTCCATTATGGCTGCGTTGGATTGACAGAGGCACCAAAAGGCAAATGGTACTGTCCACAGTGCACTGCTGCAATGAAGAGAAGAGGCAGCAGACACAAATAAAGGTGGTCCTTTTGTTTGATGAAGAAATAAACTTCAGCTGAAGATTTTATATAGGACTTTAAAAAGAAGAGAAGAGAAAGAAGAAACAATGCATTTCCAGGCAACCACTTAAAGGATTTACATAGACAATCCTATAAGATCTTGAACTTGAATTTTATGGGTTGTATTTTAATAATGTAAGTAAATTATTTATGCACTCCTGGTGTGCTATGAATATTATTCCAGTTAGCCTTGGATTATTTCAGTGGCCAACATATGCAGACATTTGTACTCCTCAACCATTTTCTCAAAGTAATGGGCATTCTATGATTTAGACTTCAAGGAATTCCAATGATGAAGATTTTAAGGAAAGTATTTTATATTCAACAGGTATATTCTGCTGCATGTACTGTACTCCAGAGCTGTTATGTAACACTGTATATAAATGGTTGCAAAAAAAAAAAAAAGTCAGTGCTTCTAAAAAGAATTTAAGATAATGGTTTTTAAAATGCCTTTATAATAAGCTTTGTTTCTTTGTGAAACTAATTCAGCAGGCTGAAGGAAATGGTTCATGTGATAATGTGGGCTGGTATCCTCTAGAGTACCTGGGTACATAAACAGAAACTCCTGTAGGTAAAAAGTAATTTGTGCCATTAGTCTTTCTATGTTTCTGCATCCAGATAGAGTGCAGTTCATGAGGGAGGGGGCGGGGGACTGAAGGGGAAAGGGCGTTAAAGTGATACATTTTTATACCAAATGTGTTTATTTTTTTGTGCAAGTAATCCTTAAAATTGCAATTGTATTAGGTGTTAAAATAAAGTTTTTAAAAAATTACTTGTATTTATACTTTACATACTTAATAATGAAAATTTCTGAATTCCAATTAACTTTCAACTTTCATAATCTAAAAAGAATCAGAGACCCAGGACACAGAATACTGTGTAATCTGTGATGTCTTTAATGATGTTTAGAGTTTGTGATATAAGAATACAGGAAAGACATTTTTAATGTAAATTTGAAATGCCAATGTATTTTTTTAAGAACATCATCTGGCTTTTCCTTCAGTCTAAAAGACATGAAAGAAGTGTAAGTATAGCAGTTAAAACGAAAATAATGGTTATGGGTGTTTTGACTGGAGGCAATGTAGCCAAATAGAGTAAAGAGACCCCCCTGGTCGGGAGCTCCAAATTGAGCTATTTTTGATTCTACCACTTACTGATATGACAGTTAATTCAAATTTTGTATCACTCTGGGCCTTACTACACCAGGGTGATGCTGACTGCAGAATAGATCTTATTCTAAGGTGCTATTTAAATTATAAATTTGCATAGTGGAGGTTTTATTTAAAGTATAATATTGAGTCTGGTCGATAGAAAAATCCTTAACTTTTAAGATACTTAATATATCATATATATTTTATATTGAAACTTACTGGGTCCATCAGATTTCTGCTTTAATTAAACCACTTATGAGCTTCTTAGAACTTATTCAGATAACAGTGTAAAATCTATGCAGTGCTACCCAAAGGGTGTGAGGTAGATAGGGGATTTCAAAGATCTCTTCCACCTTTGAGATCCCATGATTCTGAGCTGCCACAGTCTGATTATACAACTCTACCAGCTCCCTAAACAAGTTAGGTTCATTTGTGAGTACTCATCATTTCATAATATCATGATTATCACGATTTCATGATACTCAATATTTTGAGATTTTATAACCCTTTAAGAAGTGATAAATAATGTAGTATTCAATTCGTTTATCAAAGTATATTGCCTGGAAATGCTCACATGTATCATTTACATCCTCTATATATTATGACTATTCCAAACTCATTCATTTTATAGAAATGGTCAAAGGAAAAAGCCTTATGTACAGCCTTATTTGAAGAGAAAGTTCTTTGTCTGAGTCAGGAACATCCTGTTATCCAGCTGCTACATCCCCTTTCAGTGTGAATTCCACTCCTTACCAAATCACTTAGAAAACACTTTGACAAGTTTTAAACTCAAACACTGAATATTTTATGAAGCATGTGTAAAGAAAGAAACCAAAATTTGGTGCAGGTATTTAGTAATGGGTAGAACCTGTTAATATCTGAGTCATATATAATGGGGCCAAACATGGAACTACCTCATCAACCCCCCAAAAATGTGGCCAACTATTAATATTCTTTGTGACATTTACACCAAGGGGCATAGTAAGTATTTTTGGTATTATAAAATACACATTCAAAATCTCTGTTGTACAAAACTCATGTAACAGTTGGGACAAAATATCCAAATGTGGGTTCACAGTTCACAGGTGGTGAAAATTGAGGCCTTACTGCTATGGAGTGTATATCAAAATGTTCATGGTGACACATTTGAAGCAATAAATGGCTTAATTAAATGCCAAAATGAGGCTGAGTGTTTGATAAGCATACAATCATTCTTTTCAAGGGCAGTTTATATTTTTTTGTTCTCTTCTCCTTTAAAGCAAATTCCACGTTTTAGGTTTTTAACCATCTTAGGTTTGTGCAATATTAGTGCCCTTTGTCTTTAGACTTTAGGAATGGTCTTATTGACCTAATTAATTATTTTAATCTTATGCAAATAAATGTCTAACAAACTTGGGTTATAAAGGGGTATAAGATACTCCTTAATGTGTAGACATTGCAATGGTTTCCCCTCAGCTCTCACAGATAAAAATACATTTATTTTTTAGCAGATGGGTTTTAAGAGAAAAAAAGACCCTTAAAAATATTCTTTAACTTTACAAATACTAAGCACCTAGATTCTGAGAATATACAGATGAAGGTATTATATGTGTGTGTGGGGGGAGTTGGTGGGGGCAGACATGTTAAATGTGTTATCTTGATGAATGCTGTAATGGATACACAAAGCACTGGGAGAACACTGGGAGGCAGGGAAATTGATTACTGAAATAGTCAAGAAGACTTAACAAAAGAGCTATCATTTGAACTGAGTCCTAAAGACAGATGTAGTAGAGATGGCCTTCAAGGCAGAAGAGACTCTTCAAGGCCACATGCATTCTGGAACTTAAGGCAGTCTGGAAAGAGTGGCCATGAGGCAGGTAGACAGTGTCAGGGAAAGAAACCAAAAGCCAGCAAGAGTCTATTCATGAAGAGCAGGAATTGTTTGTTATAGGAGTCGAGGGTAACATTTACATATTGTTGGTTAACTGTAGTTATGATTATTTTAACAGTTCAATGAAATCACTGATTTAAGTATGTTCCCTTATTAAGATTATAAAGTAGGGATGACTTAAAATTAATCTGTAACTTGGAAAATGCTAAATTTAGGTGGATCTTTCCCTTGATTTTTGAAAGACAAAACTGCTAGTCAAGATTTTTAGATTTCCTTATTTGGATAATAAAATCAAAACTGCTGAACTAGTTTGTAGTTTCTGATCCAGGATCTTAATATTCATGATCTGATTCTGCTACAGAGAAATTAAAGTGATTTAAAGATGAACTAACCTCAGATTTCTGGGTTTTTCTTTTGAGTGAGTGTCTCACTCTGTCACCAGGGTTGGAGTACAGTGGCACAATTACAGCTCACTGCTGCCTCTACCTCCTGGGTTCAAGCGATCCTCCTGCCTCAGCCTCCTGAGTAGCTGTGACAGCAGGCATGGACCACCACTGGCTAATTTTTATATTTTTTGTAGAGATGGGCTGTCACTTAGTTGCCCAGGCTAGTCTTGAACTCCTGGCCTTAAGTGTGTGTGCCCAGGCTAGTCTTGAACTCCTGGCCTTAACTAGCTGTTTTTTTTTTTTTTTTAAATTGTTTTTGTTTGTTGGTTGGTTGGTTTTTGAGATGGAGTCTTGCTCTGTTCCCCAGGCTAGAGTGCAGTGGCATGATCCTGGCTCACTGCAACCTCCGCCTCCCAGGGTCAAGTGATTCTCCTGCCTCAGCCTCCCGAATAGGTGGGATTACAGGCACGCGCCACCATGCCCAGCTAATTTTTGTATTTTTAGTAGAGGCAAGGTTTCACTGTGCTGGCCAGGCTGGTCTTCAACTCCTGACCTTGTGATCTGCCTGCCTTGGCCTCCCAAAGTGCTGGGATTACAGGCATGAGCCACTGTGCCAAGCCAGTTGTTTATGTTTTAAGCAGTAAGTCTCATATACCTTCTAAGTCTGTGTTTTAACTAATAGATTGTTAGATGCCTACGCATTATTAAAATATTTATTTGAAAGCAATTTAATAATTTCTTAATAAATTCTCCAGAGCTATATAATTCAGTTTTTAGTTAATCAGGTACCACTTTTAACTTTCTTCACTGTTAAATTACAGAAGAGAACATTATAATCATTCATCTTTCTGCTGCTTATTAAAAGTTCAAGATTTGATGGAACTTATTGCCAGTGTGGGACGTGAGAGTGTGGCTGTGTGTGTCTGTTGATGTGTTGTTTATTCACTTTCTCCACCTCTACCTGCCTACGTTAATTCATACGAATAGCTCTACTTAGGAAGGTGTATACTAGTGTGCTGCTAGTCTTTGAGGATGGACTAATTTAAAACATTTACAGGTTTAATAAAGTTAGTGTTCATATGTTAATTATTTTTTGCATTGTTAAGTCTGCTCCAGTACAGGAACCCTCCATACTGATGCGCTAAAATAAGAACAATTGTAACAGGTATCAAGTTATTTGTATAAGTCAAATGTAATGCCCCATACATTTGAGTTGAGCATAAATATGAGGCAATCCATTAGAACAATTTAATATTATAACTAGTTTTAATATTTAAACTATTTGGTTTTAATAAAACTAGTTAAAATGTTAGTAAAATCATTCTAATGGATTGCCTCATATTTATGCTCAGGTAAATATGAGGTATTAGTAAAATCTAATTCTAATGGGATATGACCTCCCTGGTATATATCCCATTAGAGTTTATCAAAGTTTATGATTATATCCTTGAAGTATTTGTGTATTTATCTTAATATGGTCATTCATTTTTTTTCTTGAATACTTTGAGGAACTGGTTGTAAAGATAATTTTTGTGGGTTTCCCAAATGTGCCAAAACACATTTTCACTTTACCAGTGGTCACCATGCATAAATGTTTTTAAAAGAGTGATCTGTTGAAAAAAGAAAAAAAAAGCTTATATATTGTTAGGGATCATACGGTTTAGATTAGATAGAGAAGGAACCTTTTGACTTCATGTGGTGGAATGTGACCAAAGGGCTATGCTCAGTCAAAGAATGTTTCCTTCTTACCCAGCCAGATTAGCTATGTGAATGCCAGCATTCACTGAAGTGATGAGACAAAAGCTTTCTCCCTCCCATCCACATCACACACATCAATTTTCAGATAGTCAAATGACACTTATATAAAAGTTTTAAAATGCCTTTTATTTTCTGAAAATGGAAATGACTGTCTGAATTGTGAATACATTAAAAAAAGAAAGCAAGAAAAAAGGAAAAGAAAATAAGAAAGCAAGCTAAATTATGTGGCTATCTTGAGTCATTTACAAAAATGTATACAGTTTCCAAGAATCTTGTTTTGCAGGTTTACAGAGAAGACACATGAGATTCTTCATGGAGAACATTGTTTGATCTGTCATACAACAAATGAAAGTTAAATATTTTCATGTTTTATATATTATTGAACTGATTAAAGCAGAAATTCTGGCTCCATACCAAGGTATAAATTTATGTCCTGAAGAAAGTAATGAAAAAAATAGTATAATTCATTGGGTTAAACATTTACCCAATGAAATGTTTACCTCATCCCTCCCACCTGCCCCGATTTTACATGTGTGCCCACTAATTGAAGTGATTCTACCTGTCTCTCTTTTAGAATGTGTGTATACATATATACAGATGTATCTCTATATCTGTATATATAATCTTTTAGAGGATGCAAATTTCAAAAACAAATTTGAGAGGCTTAAAGGAAATTATATGCCCAAAGTTGCATTTGTTTTGGGGAGCAGTATAATTACACATTCGGGAAATGGCTAAAATTCTAAGGAAGTTAATCATGTCATTGCCATAAGCTGCTGAGGCACTCACTATTGTAACTTTAGTAACAGACAAATTTCAGGTAGCCGTATGTAAAAAAAATGTGCAACAGCTATTTGTTCAGTTAATTTTGAGTTTCTTTACCTTAGCACTTTAAATAAATGCTGATTTTTATAGGTTTTGGGGGTACATGTGCAATTTTGTTACATGGCTCTATTGCATAGTGGTGAAGTCTGGGCTTTTAGTGTATCTGTTGCACAAATAGTGAACATTGTACCCAATAGGTAATTTTTCAACCCTCAGTCCCCCTCCACCTCACCACCTTCCTTTTGGGCTCTCCAATATCTGTTATTCCACTCTGTCTGTCCATGGTATAGCCATTGTTTAGCTCCCACTTATAAGTGAGAACATGTGGTATTTGATATCTTATTTCACTTAGGAAAATGCCCTCCAGTTCCATTCACGTTGGTGCAAAAGACATTATTTCATTCTTTTTTTAATGGCTGAATAGTACTCCTATGGTGTGTGTGTGTGTTGTGTGTGTGTGTATTACATTTTTTAAATCCAATCCACTGTAGATGGACATTTAGATTGATTCTATATCTTTGCTATTGTGACTAGTGCTGCAATAAACATAGGAGTACAGGTATCTTTTTGACTAATTGTGTCTTCTGTCTAAGGAATAATCAGGCCTGATGGCCTGACCCTGCTTAACTTCTGAGATCAGATGAGATCAAGTGTGTTCAGGGTCGTATGGCTGTAGACTGATATAATGATGCCTTTTCCTTTGTGAAGATACCCTGTATAGGATTGCTGGATCCAATGGTAGTTCTGTTTTTAGTTCTTTGAGAAATATCCATAGGGTTTTTCATAGAGGTTGCATTAATTTACTTTCCCACCAACAGTGTATAGGGTTCCCTGTTCTCTCTGCATCTTCACCAACACCTTTTGTTTTTCTGTTTTTTGTTTTGTTGTTTTGTTTTAGAGTCTCCCTCTGATGCTCAGGCTGTAGTGCATCTCAGCCCACTGCAACCTTTGCCTCCTGGATTTAAGCAATTCTTGTGCCTCAGCCACCTGAGTAGCTGGTATCACAGGCATGCACCACCATTCCCAGCTACTTTCTGTAGAAAGTAGAGATGCAGGTTTGCCATGTTGGCCAGGCTGATCTCAAACTCCTGGGCTCAACTGCCTCAGCCTCCCAAAGTGCTGGGATTACAGGCATGAATCACCATGTTCGGTCATCTTTTGTTTTTTGACTTTTTGCCATTCTGACTGGTGTAAGATGGTATCTCACTGTGGTTTTAATTTGCATTTCTCTGGTTAGTGATGTTGATTTTTTCGTATGTTTTTTAGCCACTTGTATGTCTTCTTTTGAAAAATGTTCATGCTCTTTGCCCATGTTTTGATGGGGTTGTTTTTCTGTTGTTGTTTGAGTACCTTGTAGATTCTGGATCTTAGCTCTTTGTTGGATGCATAGTTTGCAAATATTTTCTCTCACTTCCAGGTTGTCTGTTTGTTGATTATTTCTTTTGCTGCCCAACCTCAGCACTTTCAACACTTTGTGCCAAATGACTCTTCGTCGTGGGGGCTGTCCTGTAGACTGGAGGATAAATTTAGCAGCACTCCTGGCCTCTATACACTAGGAGTCAGTAGCATCTCTGCCACTGCCTTACCACCCCCTGCCAGTTGTGACAACCAAAAATATCTCTAGAATTACCAAATGTCTCCTGTTTGGGGGGACAAAACTGCCTCTACTTAGTTAAATGTTACCATAATGTGAAACCTTGTGGAAAAATTCAAATAATAATGGGAAATATTTGAATTTTTGATGTGTAGAATTCTATAAACATAAATTTTTTAAACAATCACTTGCCAAGGGTGCTAGATGCTCCCAGGGGATGGAGGCGAGTAAAATCTTCCATTGTAAGCAGTTTATATGGCAAAAGATTATAAGTACACTAGTAACTAAAATACAGCACAAGTGTAATGAAAACAATTCTGGTACTGGTGCAAGCAAATTCAAAATGCCTATTAAAAAGAGTAAGTTGTGAAAAATAAAGTGACCCATTGAAAAGAGTGGAAAACTGAAATGTGTATGTCCCATTTAAAACAGGCAGCACCAAGTGTTAGCATAGGGGAACTCCAGGTGATTTGTATGCTCAGAAACACAGGTCTGATGTACAATCTAAGATTAAAAGCATTTACTTTGGAGGATTTGGTCTATCTGGACTGTTTGTTCATCTAGAAACTTACAAAGAGATTGGCAAACAAAAACTAAGAAAGGAATAGTAGCAAAATGAAGAATTTTCAGTGCGGCATTGTACTTCCACATGTAAATTGGACAAATGCTGTGCACAAGGGGAGTCCTGGACATTCTTCCTATCACCCTTTGACACAATTCCTGGACCTTTGCCATATCCTGCTACCACCCTTCACAGCCTAGGGTGGTTTTAGGACCACTGAAAAGGAAGAGGGAAATTTTTTTTTTGACTCTTAAAAATTATATTTATCATAATGATTATCATTTTTTAATGTTTCACTAAAATAGTCTATTGGATAGTCTATTTTAAAATATTGCTCCATACTGATATGCCAAGGTTTTGCTCCTATTATTATACTTTAAGTTTTAGGGTACATGTACACAACGTGCAGGTTAGTTACATATGTATACATGTGCCATGCTGGTGTGCTGCACCCATGAACTCGTCATTTAGCATTAGGTATATCTCCTAATGCTATCCCTCCCCCCTCCCCCCACCCCACAACAGTCCCCAGAGTGTGATGTTCCCCTTCCTGTGTCCATGTGTTCTCATTGTTCAATTCCCATCTATGAGTGAGAACATGCGGTGTTTGGTTTTTCGTCCTTGCGATAGTTTACTGAGAATGATGATTTCCAATTTCATCCATGTCCCTACAAAGGACATGAACTCATCATTTTTTATGGCTGCATAGTATTCCATGGTGTATATGTGCCACATTTTCTTAATCAAGTCTATCATTGTTGGACATTTGGGTTGGTTCCAAGTCTTTGCTATGTGAATAGTGCCGCGATAAACATACGTGTGCATGTGTCTTTATAGCAGCATGATTTATAGTCCTTCGGGTATATACCCAGTAATGGGATGGCTGGGTCAGGAAATATTCATTTTTAAAAAAATGCATAGAAAGCATCATAAAAGATTCAGGCGTCTTAAATTGAAGTCCATAGTCTGTACAAAAGTTACACTCTGTGTATACATAACTCTGAAATAATACATCATCAGGCGTATTTGCATATACCTTAATTGAATACAGCATTTGTCTCCTAAGGGACAGTTAAGGACTCTAAGGCAGGAATCTGACATTTTACACAGATTTTAAAATTAAATCTTACATGTGTTTTGCAATAGAATAAGCACATGTATTTGACTCATGTTGTTCTTTTCCCACCTATAAAACTAGGAGATTTTGCTTTGTGAGTTTACAATAGAAGACAATAGTAACATAACAATATTCTCAGGTAATTGGAGACAATGGTCACCCTACCCTGAAAACTACCATATCTTCATTAATAAATCTGGGAAAGAATTATTTTGGATTCCTACTGTCTGCAGATAAAGGCTAAATAAACTGTTAAACTTGGAAATGATAGCCCTCCTTGATCTGTACCTAAACGTAACACTCTTTTTCGGCTATATCTCGGTGGTTTCCTACTAAGACATAAGACCTTTATTTTCCCTCTTGCAGTAGTTGAAATCTTTGTGACTTGTTAGGGCCCAGTTGGGAAGTGGTTACTTTTTTCTTATCACCTCTCAAAAGATGTGAACTCCTTATTTTGATTCTCCATGTTGCTTGGAATATATCCATCTTAGTTGTGGCTGGGACTGCTATCTGTTTATCAGCCTTATTTCCTTTTCCTCCTGGGCATGTAACTAGATCTCATTTCACAACTCCATTTCTGTTAGGTGGGTCCATGTGAGTAGGCTCTGGACAATAGAACATGGCACAAGAGGTATATGCCAATTTGAAGCTTGGCCCATAAAAGACCTCCCACAAAATTCACCATGCCCTTTCTCATTCATTGTCTGCTAATGGGAGGCAGAGGATCCCAATGAGTATCCAAGATTCTAGGTTATGGAAAGTCACCAGGTGGAAGGACCTTAGGTACCAAATGTCTTAGAGAAAACTGACAAACACTTAAAAATGTTGTGAGTGAGAAATGAGCTCTTATTGTATCAAGCCAATGAAATTTTATGGTTATTTTTACAGTTATTTGTTTCAGCAGTTATCCTGCTGTGACCCATTCATCAGTGTGTTTCTTATATTTCAGTTGTTCATAGTATTTGTCATATGTCTTCTGTTTTTCCCAGCACCTAGGATGATGTTTCTGCATAGTAGAGATTCAATGTGTCATTCAGGGTTTAAAAACCTCATCTTAAGTTCATAGCTTATGGGGCAAGTTCTAGAGTCAGCATTAGATAAGAGGTGATAGGAGCTGAGAAGAGGGCTGTCAAACTTTCTAGGGAAGAGGGACTGGAAGGTTAGAGACCAGGCATTGCTGATAAGACTTCCAGCACTTAATCCATGACGTCACTGCTAGTAACTACAGCTGGATTTTACCTTATCATAGTCAGATAATATCTTGAAAGGGAAAGGCTGTTCCCTGCAGGAAAGCAACAGAGCCCAGAATCTGAAGACAGAGAGGAAATCCATGTCAAAATGTATCCCTAAAAGCATACATTTTCGTAGCCTAGGGTGACCTTTGAGGTCATCAGTTGATCCCTGAAACTCCTGTTTTATGAGAAAGATGGGACTCAGAGGGATAGAGAGATATATTACTTCCCCAAAGTTCCTAATCCAACACTGGAATTTTATGTTAAGAATATTTTTATTCCCTTAGTTAAAAAAAATTTAAAAAAAATACCTTCTTCAAACAATTATTTGAGTGCATACTTTCCTCTTACACCTACTCCATACCAAAGACCAAATGAAATGTGTGGGAAGGGAGCGTATATTTTGTGTTGGAGAGGTTTGGGGAGAAAGATTGTTCTGTTTTGTCCAAGCTCGAAATGATAGGATCCTGAAAGGCCTGTTAATCTATTGTCCCAGATTAATCTGCTTAAATACAGGCCCTTGAATACTGAAATTATTTAGTGTAAAGTGTACTTTATGAAATTATATGCACAAAAGCATTTAGTCTGAAATACTGCCAGAATCTACAGCCTCGTATTTCTCGTGAATATTTACCCTCTAACCCCATCCCTAAATTAACTTGTTCTCTGTCTTTATTATTCCCTATTTTTTTGTTTGTTTGTTTGTTTTGTTTTGTTGTTTTTGAGACATGGTCTCACTCTGTTGTCCAGGCCAGAGTACAGTGGCACAATCATGGCTCACTGTAGCCTTGACCTCCCTGGGCTCAGGTGATCCTCCTACCTCAGCCTCTTGAGTAGCTAGGACCACAGGCACACACCAACAGGCTTGGCTAATTTTTTGCAGAGATGGAGTTTCGCCATGTTGTCCAGGCTGGTCTGAGACTCCTGGGCTCAAGTGATCCTCCCGCCTTGGCCTCCCAAAGTGCTGGGATTACAGGTGAGCGACATCGCAACCGGCCTCATTCACTCTTCTGACTCCTTCAAGCTCTGTCATTCCATTCGAATGTGTGTAACCTACTGCTCAGGTGTAAATACCTCTCAGGTAGAGTCTCCACATGCTGCTTTCATGCCACCCTTGCCCTTGTCCTCCCAAACCAGCATCTGCTGGTGGGTGCACTTCTATCTCAAAGAGGGAAAGGAAGAGAACTAAGAGCTCATGTTTGCTTTTGGTGTCTAGATGTTCCACGGGACTCATTATTTGATAATTATCTTTTTACGTGTCTGACACCACATCTCCCATAAACTCAGTGAGGAAGGAGCACAGCCTCAGGATTCAAACCTTAACATACATGCATTCAGCATTCATTTATCCAGCAAATACAGAATGCTTAGTTGCTTTCCATATATTATCTCAACTAGTTGTACCAACAACACTTCAAAGGAAACATTAGTATCCTTATATCACGAATGAGGAAAGCTGAGACTTTGGTCAAACCACTTGTTTAAGAACAGCTGATAAAAGGCAGTGCCATGAATCATATCCAGATTGGGTTTACTCTAAAATCAGATGCTTGTGTATCGCCTTAGTCTATTTGGTGATAATTCCTGCTATATCTCCTTTCCACCTCTTGTTTGCACCTTCTCAAGCTACCTCTTTTCTCTCTCTTGCAAATATTTCCTTACTGCTTTCTTCCACTCCCTTGGACTCAGTGGTTAAAATGGGAAATGGGGTTCTTTAATCTACTAGAATCATTTCTGGGATACTAATTTTCCACCTTCTTCCCAATTCCCATTATTTGAAGTCTAGCTATATTATCTTAAAATTTTCAATACTGTTGTCTTTCATTTCTCCCAACCGAATGGCAATTTTATTTTAGCATCTGATTTACTTTCTTCTGTACCTTGTTCTCAACAATTTAATAAAGCATAAGAATGACTCTTTAGATTCCCCAAACTCTGTTTTTCAGACTTCTTGCCTTAACAGAACTTAATAGAACTGTCTGCCTATTCCTTATCACTCAGTAACAGCATTGTCACACCCTGGATTCCAATTTAGAAATCTCACAATTCTTATTATCTCTCAAATCACATTGCATCCACCAAAACGATATGTCCTACAACACCACTGTTCAGCCATTTTCTCTTAAAACTCTTTTGGCTTCTAAAAGTGAAGCATCACTTTATTTTTCTCTATCCCATTTGTCATAAGATTAAGGACTCTGAACCTATACATAAAATAATATTAAAGCCACTGGAGGCGATACATGCAAGGGCTTGGGATAAATCCAGCTTCCGTGTGAATATTTCTTCTGTAATGTGTTAATTAATTTGTTCTATAGGATGTTAAAAGGGTTTCTTTCTCACAAGCAAGGAACTCTAGATGCCCATTTCTCTGAATCTGTGCTAGCTGGGCACCCCTAGGGGGCGCTCCGTCTCTCAAAATACAAGGGGCTGACAGCAGCGTGCCTCTGGGTGAGGCTCACTCTAGGGGTGTGGCCTCACGGAGAACCTCAACCCACAAGAGTTTGGCTTAGAAACAAGTTTGAAAACCTCTTCAGGTCCAGAGCCTTTAAATAATGCCTGCTATGCGCTAAGACAGCCCTGGGTATCCAGAGTTCACAAAGCAAGGACTGATTTCCTTTCGCCTTGACAGCCTCAGCAAAAGTGGAAGGGGGTTTGCAGAATTGCACTATTAGCAGCGTCCACCCGAAGGTCTGCACAGAATTAGACTGAGCTGATTCTGGACAAAGCCCACTGTGTACCTTTATCTACTGGGCAAAAGTTACCCCCAACACCTGCTATAATCGACTCATTTTAGGAGCAAAATGTCAGGCCATGAAGCATCAGATCATTGAAAGACCCAATTAATTAGTCCAGGAAAGGAGTAATAAGAACATCTGTGATCTGAGTTCCATACTAAGACACAGAGAGACGACTGAGTTATTCTGGTGCTTGCTGTCTGAGGTCCAGACAGTACTTGTGACCCTCTTATCCTCAGAAGAGTAACCACAATTCCCTGGAGTGAAGAATATCCCAATTCACTCATGGAGTTCACTTTAGTCTCATTCTCGACCTTTGTCACCAATTGGCTAAGGCTATTTGTTTTTCCAATTCTGTATTAGGAAAAAGAAGTTGCACAGAGGATCAGACATCAGATACGTTTCTAAATTCTGCAGCTCTGGGTGGGCAGCCTCATTTGGGGAAATGCTAGCTGCTGTTTCCAAAGTGGGGAAGCCCACGGTTTCGGACACAGGGCTGACAGCGCTGCTCCAGCAGCCCCCAGGGCCAGAGGAACCCGGCCTTAGCTCCGCCCCGCTCTGCCCGGCCCCGGGTGGCTGCGATGCCGAGGTCCTCTGCTCCCGCCGGGCGTGCAGCGGGCGCGCGCGCGTGTGTTTATGTGTCTGTGTGCGTGTGTGTGTGTGTCTCTCTCTGTGTGTGTGTGAGATGAATTGGAGTCATACGACTGGGTGTTTCCTTCCGAGTGGTTTTCATCAGCAATCCATTAGGAAATCATGGAAACTTTTTTTTTCCTGGCTAAAAGGATGAAAACTGAGTAAGTACATAGAACTTTGAACTTGAGACGGAATGAAACAAATTCAAGCAAAAACCCTGACAGTAACCATGTCCATTCAAATTGCGTATGCCCTTTTTATGTTAAAAGCCGTGAATACTTACAGGACAGTGGGAATTTAAAACTAAATGAAGGGAAGCATACAAAAGGCTGAAAGCAAGACTGCTTTAAAACCGGAGGAAAATTGAGGAACTGCTAAGGCAACCTGGCCTGAGTTCAGCTGTGCAACAGGCACTTTGGGTTTTAATCTTTTGCGTTCTTCAATGCTGTTTTCAGACTCCAGATATACTTTGGTATTGTTTTCTCTCTTCCTGCAAAGCTGAGGCAGAGTCGGACTCCTTTACTGTGAGTTGAAAGATGTGAGAATAAGGCATTGCTGGAAGCAACAGTTTGGCAGCCTGGGGTACACTCAGGTTATTCGTTACAACTATTATTATTTGATGTCTTTTTTTAAACTCAGGTCATCCACTTTTGACTGTCATCCATGGAAGAGCTCTTATTAAAAGCCTCAGACTTTCGGGACCTATGATTCTTTGGCACAACCTTTTGGAAAATTCTTAAGCAGGGATGAAGCAAACTTGATTGGAGTTGGGGAAAAAGAAGACAGATTAGTATTTTTCATGCTGACAAAAAATAGCTGCTATGACTTTTCCCGCAACGTGGACAGGGGCCAAGTGAAGCTGAACTGGTCATGGTCTGTCGCCCAGTGTTCCCTTGTCGTCGGCGATTTTGCCCCCGACCCTTCTTGGTGGGCTTAGTGGTGGCAATCTGTCTCTTCTACCAGACTCTGACCCTCCGAGGGTCGAGGAAGCTCACAGCCGCTGCCCCTGGGGCTGTCCCACACACATCCACTGAAACCCAGGCAAGCAGATGCAAGAAAGGATTCTCTCAGGACAAACAGTGCTTCCTTCTCTCTGGTAATGCCCAGGAAACCAGAAAGGTAAGACTCTCATAAGCTTAACGGAGACAGTTTCTGCAAAGACAGCAATCTGCTTCTCTGTCCTTTCTATAAAACTAAAATTAACTTCCATGAGGTCTGAAAGGGATCCAGAGTGTAAACAGCCTAGAGAGTGACCTGATGACTGGGAAACACGTTACATAAGCTTCAACTTCTTATAGTTACTTCCAGAAAGTTCTGGCATTACTTTATCTCTTAGGATTTCACTTCATTTCAGTGGAATGAAGTAGACAGTTTGGAGGAGGCATAAAATGATGTGGATTCTTTCTAAAATATCAGTATTCTAAGAGATCTGAGGATTTACAATTCAAAAACATAAATCAAAGTTTCAAAAACTTTGATAAACCTTGAGTGTCTCTTTTCTCAAGGCAGTCAGTATGAGTGCCCAGACCATTCCAGACTCAAAGATTCTCCAAAGTTTCATTTTGTAACTAGCTAGATTGATTCTTAATTGGTGACCACATTTCTAAAGCAATATATTTACTTCGAAAGCATTAAAATAATAGGATAATAGGTTTCTTCAAAAGAATTGATACAATGTATTTTATTGTTTATAGGATCAGGGAAATACAGATTATTCTATATTTATACTATTCAGATAAACTTACTAATCTTACTTGTCAAATATTGAAAAAAAACACAAAAAGCACACAAAGTAACACAGGATTTCTATTTTAATATACCACTCTCCTCATGCCTATCAGTAATATAATGACCTGTAACATAGTCAAGTGTAAAACAGAACATGAAGAAATAAAAAAAAATCCATGCAAAAAAGATCATGGTGGCAAAGCTACTAAATTTTATGTTACAACAAGTAGTATTGTAGCAACAAAATAGAGGGCTCTGTAAGTAGCATCTTATATCTACAGTAGATTCTGGTCGATCTTATGATGCCGGTTACCGTTTGAAGTAGAATTTCTACTTGAACACCAGCTCCGTTGCTACCATTATTACCAAAACCTCCACGATTGACCAGCACCACTTCTTTTAAAAACTCTTTTATTTATTTCGTTTCAGACTACTGCCCTGTGAGACAGGTACAGTAGATAGGATTATTAGCATTTTATGAACAAGGAGCCTGACAGTGCCATTTAGGTAGGTCACATGGTTAGCATTATGACAAGATGCATCCCCAGAGCAATAGCTATCAAGCTGCTTGGTTCCTACTGCAGGGCTGATGCTCCAAATAAAAGTCAATTCAAAGCCCTTGTAATAATTTTTGAAACCACAACTACAAGAACTTACTGAAATACAAAATAACATTAAGTTAAAACAAGGAAAATTTTAAACTTTTAAGTGACTTCATTTGTTATCCGTAATGCCAGGAAACATCCTGACCAAGAACTATCTTATGACAAAGAATAGTAGATAATATAAGTTGAAACACTTTAAAATGAAACTGCAACTGAAATTGTACATCTATTTTTAGGCACAGTAAAGTTATTGAAGAATGTGTATTTTTGTTGTTGTTGTTCATTTATACTAGCATTAACTTTTTTCTTTTCCTGACTACATCACAGTTACAATGGATGTAAACTGTGACTGTTAAAGTCATTTCTTGTTAGTTTCAACATTGAGAAAGGCAATTTCTTAAAAAATAGTTGAGATAGTCTTGCTCTTATTTAATGCCTAAAATTTTTGCTAGGAATTTTGAATGAAAAGGTTTTATTCATGAACTTACAGCTTTCTTACTCCCCTTGTTCACTCTGTGTGATTCCTACTTTGTTTGTAATTTA